>NW_018654721.1:0-171798 GCF_000001405.40 Homo sapiens | reverse complement strand
TACAAGTGTGAGCTACCATGCCTGGCCCCAGACTTTTTTTTGAAGGGGCAGCACCATTTTACATGTCCATCAGCAATATATGAGGGTTCTAATTTCTACACATGCTATCCAATATTTATTGTTGGTCTTTTTTTATTATAGCCATTCTAATATCTCATTGTGGTACTATCGTAAGTGGCATCTCATTGGAGTTTCAGTTGAGTTTTTCTAATGCCCACTGATATTGAACATCTTTTTTTGTATTTATTGGCTACTTACATAGTCTTCCCTTGGTATCTGCAAAAGATTGGTTTCAGAAACACACGATGATACCAAAATGCAAGGATGCTCGTCTCACTTATACAGAATGGCATAGTATTTGCATATAGCCTATGAACATCCTCCCATACACTTTATTTTTATTTATTTATTTATTTATTTATTTTTTGAGATGGAGTCTCACTCTGTTGCCGAGGCTGGAGTGCAGTGTCATGATCTTGGCTCACTGCAACCTCTGCCTCCCAAGTTCAAGTAATTCTCCTGCCTAAGCCTCAGTTTTGATTTTTGAGGTAGACGGGGGTCTCACTTTGTTCCCCAGGCTGATCTTGAACTCCTGGGCTCAAGTAATCCTCCCACCTCAGCCTCCCAAAGTGCTGGGATTACAGGCACCTGCCACCATGCCTGGCTAATTTTTATATTTTTAGTAGAGACAGGTTTTACCATGTTGGCCAGGCTGGTCTTGAACTCCTCACCTCAGGTGATCCACCCGCCTCAGCCTCCCAAAGTGCTGGGATTACAGGTGTGAACCACCTCACCAGGCCCATCCCATATACTTTAGATTATCTCTAGATTACTTACAATACCTAACATAATGTAAATATGGTCTAACTAGGTGTTGTACTGTATTTTTTAATTTGTATTATTTTTTATTGTTGTATGTTATCTTTATTTTATTTTTTCCCAAATGTGTATTTTTTCCCTTGAGACAGGGTCTCACTCTGTCACCCAGGCTGAAGTGCAGTGGCATGATCATGGCTCATGGCAGCCTCAACCTCCTGGGCTCAAGGAATCCTCCCACCACAGCCTCTGGAGCAGCTGGGGTTACAGGCATGCACCACCACACCTGGCTAATTTTTTTTTTTTTTTTTTGAAAGACGAAGACTCGCCTTGTTGCCCAGGCTGGTCTCAAACACTTGAGCTCAAGTGATCCACCTGCCTCAACCTCCCAAAGTGCTGAGATTACAGGCATGAGCCACTGTGCCCAGCCCCAAATATTTTCAATCTGCTGTTAATTGAAACTGCAAATGTAGAACCCATGGATATGAAGGGCTTACTGTATATGTTGTTTGTAGTCATGACTATTTAAATCCTTTGCCAATTTCTTGGCTGATCTCATCTTGCTGAGATCAGTCCGCTCTCCCCCTGTGAGAGTGTAATACTGTGCTTAATAAACTTTTGCTGCTTTCTTTGCTGTAAAAAAAAATCCTTTGCCCATTTCTTTTCTTTTTTTCTTTTTCTTTCTTTTTTTTTTTTTTTTTTTTTTTTTTTTTTTTGAGACAGAGTTTCAATCTTGTTGCCCAGGCTGGAGTGCAATGACACGATCTCGACTCACCACAACTTCCGCCTCCCAAGTTCAAGCAATTCTCTTGCATCAGCCTCCCAAGTAGCTGGGATTACAGGCATGCGCCACCACACCCGGCTAATTTTTGTATTTTTAGTAGAGACAGGGTTTCTCTGTGTTGGTTAGGCTGGTCTCGAACTCCCAACCTTAGGTGATCCACCTGCCTCGGTCTCCCAAAGTGCTGGGATTACAGGCGTGAGCCACCGCGCCCGGCCTGCACATTTCTTAATTGGGCCATCTTTTTGTTGTAGTTGAGTTGCAATAATTTTTTTTTTTTTTTGAGACAGAGTCTTGCTCTGTCACCCAGGCTGGCATGCAGTGGCACAATCTCGGCTCACTGCAACCTCTGCCTCCTGGGTTCAAGTGATTCTCCTGTGTCACCTTCCCAAGTAGCTGGGATTCCAGGTATGTGCCACCATGCCCAGCTAATTTTTGTATTTTTAGTAAAGATAGGGTTTCACCATGTTGGCCTGGCTAGTCTCAAACTCCTAACCTCAGGTGATCCACCCGCCTCAGCCTCCCAAAGTGCTGGGATTACAGCCGTGAGCTACCATGCCCAGCTGCAAGAATTCTTTATATATTAAGGATACTAAACATTTATCAGGTATATAATTTGCAAATATTTTCTCCCACTCAAGTGGGTTGTCTTTTCACTTTCTTGGGGAGTTTTTAAAGCTCAAAAGTTTTTACTTTTGATGAAGTTTAATTATCTCTTTCCTATTTTATAGCTTGTGCTTATGGTGTCCTCTCTAAGAAATCATTGCCTAACACAAGGTCACAAAGATATCCCCCTAGATTTTTTTCTAAGAGATTTATGTTTTAACTCTTATAAATTGATTATCTGTTTTTGGTTAATTTTTGTAAGTGGTGTGAGATTCAATTTCATGTTTGTAGGTGTCATTCTTGCGCATGTGGATATCATGTTGTCCCAGGAACATACATTGAAAAAACTATTGTTGGCCAGGCGCGGTGACTCACGCCTGTAATCCCAGCACTTAGGGAGGCCAAGGCAGGCAGATCATGAGGTCAAGAGATCAAGACCATCCCGGCCAACATGGTGATACCCCATCTCTACTAAAAATACAAAAAAATTAGCTGGGTGTGGTGGCACATGCCTGTAGTCCCAGCTACTCGGGAAGCTGAGGCAGGAGAATCGCTTGAACCTGGGAGGTGGAGGTTGCAGTGAGCTGAGATTGTGCCACTCAACTCCTGACTGGCAACAGAGCGAGACTCGGTCTCAAAAAAAAGAAAAGACTATTGTTTTTCTACTTATTTTTTTGGCATGCTTGTCAAAAATCAATTGACCATAAGTGGAAGAATTTACTTGTAGATTCTCAGTGCTATTCCATTGATCTATGTATCTGCCTTTATGCCAATACCACACTATCTTGATTACTGTAGCTTTTAGTAAGTTTTGAAATTGGGAAGTGTGTAAGTAACTCCAACTTAGTTACTTTTTTTCAAGATTGCTTTCACTATTCTGGGTTCCTTGCATTTCCATATGAATTTTAGGATTAGCTTGTCCAATTCTTTAAAAATGGCAGCTGAGGTTTTACAGCTATTGGATTCAGTCTGTAGATCAAGTTGGAAAGTACTGCTATCTAAACAATGTTAAGTATTCCAGTCCATGAGTATGGGCTATCTTTTCATTTACTTAGGTCTTTACATTTCTTTCTCTTTTTTTTGAGACAGAGTCTCACTTTGTTGCCCAGGCTGGAGTGCAGTGGAGTGATCTTGGCTCCCTGCCTTTGCCTCCTGGGTTCAAGCAATTCTCCCTGCCTCAGGCTCCCGAGTAGCTGGGATTACAGGCGCCCGCCACCATTCCCAGCTAATTTTTGTATTTTTTAGTAGAGACGGGGTTTTGCCATGTTGACCAGGCTGGTTTCGAACTCCTGACCTCAGGTGATCCATCTGCCTCGGCCTCCCAAAGTGCTGGGATTACAGATGTGAGCCACTGCACCTGGCTACATTTCTTTCAATAATGTTTTGTAGTTTCCATTGAATAAGTCTTGCACTTCTTTCAGTAAATCTATTGGTAATTAGTTTATTCTGTTTGATGCTGTTGTGAATGATATTTTCCAATTGTAATTTCTTGATTTTTTTCATTGACAGTATATAGAAATACAATTGATTTTTGTGTATTGCTCTTATATCTTGCAACCTTGGTAAACACATTAGTTTTGGTGTTTTTTTGTAGATACAATAGGTTTTTTTACATAAAAGTTTATGTTATTGCCATTAAAGACAATTTAACTTCTTTCCTTCCAACCTTGGTAATTTTTTTGATCTCACTCCAGTGCTACGTTGAGTGGAAGTGATGAAAATATACCTCCTTGCTTTGTTCCTGATACTTGAAAAAAAGCATTTAGTTTTTCATCATACAGTATGTTAGTGTAATTTTCTTCATCAATGTCCTTTATCAGTTAATAAAGTTTTTGTCTGTCCCTAACTTTTTTTTTTGAAACAGTCTACCTCTGTCACCCAGGCTGGAGTGCAGTGGCATGATCTCAGGTCACTGTAACCTCCACCTCCCAGGCTCAAGCAATTCTCCTGCCTCAGCCTCCTGCCCAGCTAATTTTTGTATTTTTAGTAGAGATGGGGTTTCACTGTGTTGGCCAGGCTGGTCTCAAACTCCTGACCTCGCGATCCGCCCACCTTGGCCTCCCAAAGTGCTGGGTTTACAAGTGTGAGTCTGCGCCCAGGCATCTGTCCCTAACTCTTAAAAAAAAATTAATTTTTAATTTTTGTGGGTGCATAGTGGGTGTGTATATTTACGGCTTACATGAGATATGTTGATACAGGCATGCAATGTGTAATAATCACATCAGGGTAAATGGGGTATGCATCACCTCCAGCCCTTATCCTTTGTGTTTCAAACAATCCAATTACACTCTTTTAATTACGCTTTTTTTTTTTTTTTTGAGACAGATTCTCGCTCTGTCACCCAGGTCGGAGTGCAGTGGTGCCATCTCAGCTCACTGCAACCTCTGCCTCCCAGGTTCAAGCAATTCTCCTGCCTCAGCCTCCCAACTAGCTGGGATTACAGGCACCTGCCACCACACCCAGCTGATTTTTGTGTTTTTAATAGAGATAGGGTTTTGCCCTGTTGGCCAGGCTGGTCTTGAACTCCTGACCTTAGGTGATCCACCCACCTCGGCCTCCCAAAGTGCTGGTATTACAGAGGTGAGCCACCGCACTCGGCCTAGTTATGCATTTTTTAAAATCTCACTGTGTTGCCCAGGCTGGAGTGCAATGGCACAGTCACAGCTCACTGTAGCCTTGAGCCCTGGAGCTCAAGTAGAGCTTGAGCCTCCTGCCTCAGCCTCCCAAGTAGCTGGGACTACAGATGCACACTACCATGCTCGGCTAACTTTGGTATTTTTTGTAGAGATGGGGTTTGATTATGTTGCCCAGGCTGATCTCTAACTTCTGAGCTCAAGTGATCTGCCTGCCTTGGCCTCACAAAGTGTTGGGATTACAGGTATGAGTCACTGCACTCCTCTTTTAGTTATTTTTAAATGGACAATTAAATTAATTTTTTACCATAATCACCCTGTTGTGCTAGCAAATAGTAGGTCTTATTTACTCTTTCTATTTTTTTGTATCCACTAACCATTAACCTGGGCCAGGTGTGGTGGCTCATGCCTGTAATCTCAGCACTTTGGGAAGCCAAGGAGGGAGTATTGCTTGAGCCCAGGAATTTGAGACCAGACTGGACAACATAGGGAGACTCTGTTTCTACAAAGAATAAAAAATATTAGCTGGCTATGGTGACAAGCACCTGTAGTACCAGCTACTGGGAAGGCTGAGGTGGGAGGATTGCTTGAGTCTGGTATGTTGAGGCTGCATTGAGTTGAGATAGGGCCATTGCACTCTAGCCTGAGAGTGCATTCTGAGACAGAATGAGAACCTGTCTCAGACAAAAAAAAAAAAAAAATGTTCCTTCCATGTGGTGTTTTTGTCTGGTCTTGATAACAGTATAATACTGGCAAAGAATGTTTTAGGGAGTGTTCCCTCCTCTTTTATTTTTTGAGAGTTTGTGAAGTACAGGTGTTAATTCTTCTTCAAAAATTTGGTAGACTTGGGCTGGGTGTGGTGGCTCACACTTGTAATCCCAGCACTTTGGGAGGCTGAGGTGGGTGAATCACCTGAGGTCAGGAGTTCAAGACCAGCCTGGCCAACATGATGAAAACCCGTCTCTACTAAAAATACGTATGCGCTAGGCATGATGGTGCATGTCTGTAGTCCCAGCTACTTGGGAGGCTGAGATAGGAGAATCACTTGAACCTGGGAGGTGGAGGTTGCAGTGAGCCGAGATTGCGCCACTGCACTCCAGCCTGGACCACAAAAATGAAACTCCGTCTCAAAAAAAAAAAAAGATTTGGTAGACTTCAGCTGAGAAGTCAAGTGGGCCTGGATTTTCAATTATGAGATTTCTTTCTTTTTTATTTTTTGCAGAGACAGGATCTCGCTCTGCCTCCCTGGCTGGAGTGCAGTAGCATGGTCATAGCTCACTGCAACCTCGAACTCCTAGGCCCAAGGGATCTTCCTGCCTCAGCCTCCTAAGTAGCTGGGACTACAGGTGCATGCCACCATGTCCAGCTAATTTTTAAAAATTTTATAGAGATGGGGTCTCACTATGTTGCCCACGCTGGTCTCAAACTCCTGGCATCAAGTGATCCTTCTGCCTCAGCCTCTCAATGTTCTAGGATTACAGGTATGAGCCACTGTACCCAGCCCTTTCTTCTTTTTAAATATAGGTGTCTACCGTTATAAATTTCAAATTAAGCACTGCTCTGTGCGTGTGTTGGAATGTTTTCAAAGCTCCAGCCCTGTGCCTTAGCCTTCACTTCCTGCTTATGCAGAACCCTCAAGATTCATTCTAGACATGAGCAGAGCATTGGACTTGCACATGGCCTTTTAGGTTTCCAGTAATATGTTTAACCTTTGCAAATTTTCACATGAACATCTCATTCCACAGTTTTCCTTTTTAATTGTTTTTTGGTGGGTAACAAGGTGGGTCACCTTGTTAGCTCTAACTGGTATCACTGCCTCAGGCATCTGCAGTGTTAAATGATTGCCACTGATTGTTTTCAACAAATGCCCTAGGGATAAAACTAGTCACACATAGTGAGCCTACTCAGGTCAAATAAAGACAGGCCTTGGGAATGGAGATTTTCAGGGAGCTGCCACAGGTTAAATAGTGACAATTCTCTGGGGATAAAAGTTAAGCCTACCCTGAAACTAAAGAGCATAGAATGGAAATAGTGTAACTTAAAAGCTACAAAACTCACTGTTCTTTCTGATATTCAGCAGGGTTTTTTTTTTTGTTTGTTTTTTGCTTTTTTTGTTTTTGCTTTGTTTTGTTTTGAGACAGAGTCTCCCTCTGTCACCCGGGCTGGAGTGAAATGGTGTGATCTCGGCTCACAGCAACCTCTGCCTCCCAGGTCCAAGCAATTCTCCTGCCTCGGCCTCCTAAATAGCTGGGAATACAGGCACGTGCCACAATGCCCAGCTAATTTTTGTGTTTTTAGTAGAGACGGGGTTTCGCCATGTTGGCCAGGCTGGTCTTGAGCTCCTAACCTCAAGTGATGTGCCTGCCTCAGCCTCCCAAAGTGCTGGGATTACAGGCATGAGCCACTGTGCCCAGTCCATCAGTTTTTCTTGAATAAATGCTTCTAAGATACTGCAAGTTTTTGGTTAATTTCTAATGTTTTGAACAATTTGATTTGGACAATTTTTAGACAAGTTCCTTTTATGAATGAACAGATTTTCATAGGTCCTTACTCCATTATTCTTTTTTTTTTCAAGATGGAGTCTTGCTCTGTCACCTAGGCTGGAGTGCAGTGGCACGATCTTGGCTCACTGCAACCTCTGCCTCCCAGGTTCAAGTGAGTCTCCTGCCTCAGCCTCCCAAGTAGCTGGACTACAGGCGTGCACTGCCATGCCCAGCTAATTTTTTTTTTTTTAATAGAGATGGGATTTCACCATGTTGGCCAGGCTGGTCTCGAACTCCTAACCTCAAGTGATCCATCCACCTCAACCTCCTAAAGCGCTGGGATTACAGGCATGAGCCACTGTGCCCAGCCTCAATTACTCCATTATTCTAGAAGTGCTTCTACACAAATACATTTTGAAGTTTCCTTATTTATATAGGATGTTTGGGGTGCTATATTTTATTATTGATTTCTCACTTAATTGCAGTTTGCTTATGTACCAAATTTTAAATTGTAGAAGCTAGATTAGTAAGTTGAAAAGAAGCAGGTGAAATTAACTTTAATAGATCCAAAATGTTATTTCAGGCTGTAATCAGTATAAAAATTATTGTGAAGATTTTTATAATATTGTCTTTGAAATGTAGTAAGTTTTTATATTTTTATGTTTTACTGAGTTTACCTGGTATACAATAAACCATATATAATATAAAGTATACAATTTAATAAGTTTTATATATCCATGAAACCACATCAGTACAATCAAGTAATGAAAATATCCTATATTTACCTCAAAAGTTCTCCTGGCCGGGTGCAGTGGCTCACACCTGTAATCCCAAAGGCTGAGGTGGGTGGATCACCTGAGGTTAGAAATTCGAAACCAGCCTGGCCAACATGGTGAAACCCCGTCTCTACTAAAAATACAAAAAATTAGCTGGGTGTTGTGGTGCTCACCTGTAATGCAAGCTACTCAGAAGGCTGAGGCATGAGAATCACTTGAACCCAGGAGGCAGAGGTTGCAGTAAGAGGAGACTGTGCTGCTGCACTACAGCCTGGGTGAAAGAGTGAGACTCCATCTCAAAAAAAAAAAAAAAAAGTTCTCCTGTGCTCCTTTGCAATTCCCCACCTAGCTCATCCATCCCAAAACAAGCACTGATTTCTTCTCTGAAATAATTTCCTTTCTGGATATAAGTGCTTTATCAGATATGTGATTAGCAAATACACTTCTCAGTGTCTGGCTAGTCTTTTCATTCCTTAGCAGTGTTTTTTGAAGAGAAAGAGTTCTAAATTTTTTGAAAAAATCAAATTTTTAAAATTTTCTTTATGAATTGTTTATATCATATGTAAGAACTATGCCTAGTCCAAGACTACAATATTTTTCCTATGTTTTCTTCTAAATGTTTATAGTTTTAGGTTCAAATTTATGTCTCTGATCCATTCTTAATTAATGTTTGTACATGGCACCAAGTATGCATTGAAACTTTTTTTTTGCACATGGATATTCAATTTTTCTAGTTCCATTTGTTAAAAAGACACTGACTTGTACTTGACCTTTTGTTCACAATCAAGAGACCATATATGTATGGGTTTATTTCTACTTGCCCTATTTGCCTATATTGATGCTATCTATAATCACATTATCTTGACTTCCATGAATTTGTAATGAATCTTAAGTCAGATAGTATCAGTTCTCCAACTTTGCCCTTTTTCAGAGTCATTTTTCCTAATCTAGGTTATTTGCATTTCCATATAAATGTTATGGTCTTCAGTTATTTAGTTATGGTCTTTTTTTGGCTCATGATTTTACAATGAAAAAATAAATTAAAAAAAGACTTAATTCCTTCTATCAATGTTTTGTAGTATTTTACTAGATATGTCTTGCAAATCTTTTACCAGAATATTCCCTAAGCATTTTATATGTTTTGATGTATTTTTAAAATATATTATTGTAACTGGATTTCTAGTTTCAGTTTTTGATTGTTTATTACTAGCATAAAGAAATAAAATTGGGGCAGGATGCGGTGGCTCACGCCTGTAATCCCAGCACTTTGGGAGGCCGAGGCGGGTGGATCACGAGGTCAGGAGATCGAGACCATCCTGGCTAACACGGTGAAACCCCGTCTCTACTAAAAATATAAAAAATTAGCCAGGCATGGTGGCGGGCGCCTGTAGTCCCAGCTACTTGGGAGGCTGAGGCAGGAGAATGGCATGAACCCAGGAGGCGGAGCTTGCAGTGAGCTGAGATTGCACCACTGCACTCCAGCCTGGGCTACACAGCAAGACTCTGTCTCAAAAAAAAAAAAAGAAATAAAATTGGCCAGGCATGGTGGCTCACATCTGTAATCCCAGCACTTTGGAGGCCAAGGCAGGTAGATCACCTGAGGTCAGGAGTTCGAGACCAGCCCAGCCAACATGGTGAAACCCCATCTCTACTAAAAATACAAAAATTAGCCAGGCATAGTGACGGACACCTGTAATCCCAGTTACTCAGGAGGCTGAGGCAGGAGAATTGCTTGAAACCGAGAAGCAGAGGATGCAGTGAGCCAAGATTATGCCATTGCACTGTGGCCTGGCCAACAAGAGCAAAACTCTGTCTCAAAAAAAAAGAAAAGAAAAGAAAAGAAAGAAATTGATTTTTGTATGTTAATCTTGTATCCTGGTGACTTTCCAAATTTATTTTCCAGTTCTAGTAACTTTCTTTTTTTTAATGTCAAAGGATTTTCTGTTTGAGCAATCAGATATAAGCAGTTTTACCACTTCCTTCACAATTTGAATCTTTCCAGTTTTTTTTTTCTTGCCTTATTGCACTGGCTAGAACTCCTAGTACAATATTGAAAAAAAAAATTTGGGCCAGGTGCAGTGGCTCACGCCTGTAATCCCAGCACCCTGGGAGGCTGAGGCTGGCGGATCACGAAGTCAGGAGATCGAGACCATCCTGGCTAACATGGTGAAACCCAGTCTCGACTAAAAATACAAAAAATTAGCTGGGCATGGTGGCGGGTGCCTGTATTACCAGCTGCTTGGGAGGCTGAGGCAGGAGAATGGCGTGAACCTGGGAGGCAGAGCTTGCAGTGAGCCGAGATCGAGCCACTGCACTCCAGCCTGGGTGACAGAGCAAGACTCCATCTCAAAAAAAAAAAAAAAGAAAAGAAAAAAATGTATGAGAATGGATATCTTTGCCTTGTTCCTATACTTAGGGAAAAACCTTTAATCTTTTACCATTCATGATATTATCTGTATGTTTTATGTAGATGCTTTATATCACATTGAGAAAATCCATTTTATTTCTAATTCACTGACATACGTTTACTTATTTATTTATATATTTCGAGACAGGGTCTCGTTCTGTTGCCCAGCTGGAGTGCAGGGGAGCAATCATAGCTCACTGCAACTTTTAACTCCTGGCCTCAAAGGATCCTCCCACCTCAGCCTCTCGAGTAGCTGGGACTACAGACTTGTGTCACCATGCCCAACTAATTTTTTTTTTTTTTTTTTTTTTGAGACGGAGTCTTGACAGAGTCTCACTCTGTCACCAGGCTGGAGTGCAGTGGTGCAATCTCAGCTCACTGCAACCTCCACCTCCCAGGTTCAAACAATTCTCCTGCCTCAGATTCCCGAGTAGCTGGGACTACAGGCATGTGCCACCATGCCCAGCTAATTTTTGTATTTTTAGTAGAGATAGGGTTTCACCATGTTGGCCAGGATCTCCTGACCTTGTGATGTGCCCACCTCGGCCTCCCAAAGTGCTGGGATCACAGGCGTGAGCCACTTGGCCTGGCCTAATTTTTATTTATTTGTTTTTTTTTTTTTTTTTTTTTTTGAGAAAGGGTCTCACTTGGTAGCCCAGGCTGCAGTGCAGTGGTGCTATCATGGCTCACTGTAGCCTCGGCCTTCTAGGCTCTAGTGATCCTCCCACCTTAGCCTCCCAACTAGCTGGGACCACAGGTATGCACCACCATGCTCGACTAATGTTTTAATTTGTTTCTAGAGACAGGGTCTCCCTGTGTTGCCCAAGCTGATCTTGAACTCCTGGGCTCAAGCAATCCTCCTGCCTTGGCCTCCCAAAGTGCTGGGATCATAGACATGAGCCACCACGCCTGGCCTGACATTTGTTTTAGGTCTGAAATGGATATTGGACTTTGTTACATGCTTTTTCTGCATGTATTGAGAGATTACCATACAGTTTTTCTTTTTTAGTCTTGTTAATATGTTACATTGGTTTATTGACTATAATTTAAAGGATATCTCAACTTGAACTAGCTCCATTTTAAGGGCTCAGTATCTCATGCAAGATGAGGCTGGAAAAAGAAGTGGGTGGAGAATGATGACCTACGTCTTTTTTTGTTTGTTTGTTTGTTTGTTTTTGTTTATGTTTTTTGAGACAGGGTCTGGCTCTGTCACCCAGGCTGGAGTACAGTGGAGTGATCACAGGTTACTGCAACCTCTGCCTCCCAGGCTCAAGCTATCCTCCCATCACAGCCTCCTGAGTAGCCAGGACTACAGGCACATGCCACCGTGCCCAGCTAATTTTGTGTGTGTGTTTTTTTGTAGAGACAGGATTTTTCCATGTTGCCCAGGTTGGTCTCTAAACTCCTGAGCTCAAGCAATCCACCTGCCTCGGACTCCTAAAGTGCTGGGATTACAAGCATGAATCACCTCACCTGGCTGACCTGTGTTGTATGGACATAGGAACAATCAGGAACCAGAGTCTAAGGCTTTGCAAGAGAACTGGGATAGTCTGGAATTGTCGAATCCAAGGGCAGAAAGAAAAGGCAGGATCTGAAATAAAGAATCATCAAGTCAGGCATGGTGGTGTGCACTTGTAGTCCCAGCTATTCAGAAGGCTGAGGCAGGAGGGTTGCTTGAGGTCAGGAGTTCAAGGCTGAAGTACACTATGATCATGCCTGTGATTAGCCTAGCCAATATAGCAAGACCCTGTTTCTTAAAATAATAATAAAGAATAGCCAGGTATGGTAATGAGTCACTTGTGGTCTCAGCTACCCAGGACGCTGAGACACGAGGATCTCTTGAGCTCAGGAGTTCACGGCTGCAGTGAGCTATGATCATGCCACTGTACTCTAGCCTGAGTGATATAGCAAGATCTCATCTCTAAAAATTAAAATTAAAATTAAAATTAAAATTAAAAAGACCTGTTTGTTCAGACTTTTCTCTGTCACACTTCATCTTCAGAGAGAAGAATATTCCTTCCCTAAAGCTACAGAAAAGACACCTCTTATATGAGGGTCTTATGACGAGCTTTAGGGGGAGGTCAGAAAATTCTTCCTAGATTTTATGACCTGCTTCAGGGAAGAAGGGTGGGAGGAGGGTGAGAGTGACCTTTCTGCTCCTGCTGTTATTCAGTATACCAAGGTAGCATATTTTGGGTAGCATGTCTTGAACCCCAGCATTCCCTCTTATGACACTTCCCCAAGAAATTTCACAGTCCAAAAGCTGAGTTGATAGATTGTTCCATAATCCATTGAACTAGTCTCTCAGTTTGGGGAATAGTTCAGTCCACTTAAATGACTCTGTCCATTTGAATGTGGCAGGTGGGCTCCCACCAAAATTAGGCCTCTATATGGTAATAATAATAATTTAGGCCAGGCATGGTGGCTCACGCCTGTAATCCCAGCACTTTGGGAGGCCGAGGCGGGCATATCATGAGGTCAGGTGACCAAGACTATCCTGGCCAACATGGTGAAACCCCGTATCTACTAAAAATACAAAAATTAGCTGGGCGTGGTGGCACCTGCCTGTAATCCCATCTACTTGGGAGTCTGAGGCAGGAGAATTGCTTGAACCCAGGAGGCAGAGGTTGCAGTGAGCCAAAATTGCACCACTGCACTTCAGCCTGTGACAGAGCAAGACTCCCATCTCAAAAAAAAAAAAAAAAAAAGAATAATTTAATAAGAACATTTCTATGGAAACAAAAGAAAAACAAAGGTTAATGGTTGGAGCAAATTATAAACTCAGTTTCTGAGTCTGGAGAGCAGACAGTGGAGATTTATAGATTTGAGGCTTGAAGCATATCTTGTAATTTGAGTGTTGTGGTGGTATCATAGTGAATTTTCTGAGTGGCCCATACAGCATTAGGCACGAAGGTTGTCCATACCTGAGTTGTTATGGTGATGTCTCTAAAGTTTATATCAAGTTTTCCACTTGATATAAACTTGCAGAGCTTTGGGAAAAGGGCAGTGTGATGGTTAATACTGAGTGTCAACTTGATTGGATTGAAGGATGCAAAGTATTGATCCTGGGTGTGTCTATGAGGGTGTTACCAAAGGAGATTAACATTGGAGTCAGTGGGCTGTGAAAGGCAGACTCACCCTTAATCTGGGTGGGCACCATCTAATCAGCTGGCAGCACAACTAGCATATAAAGCAGGCAGAAAAACATGAAAACACTAGACTGGCCTAGCCTCCTAGCCTATATCTTTCTTTCATGCTGGATGCTTCCTGCCCTCAAACATTGGACTTCAAGGTCTTCAGCTTTGGAACTCGGACTGGCTTCCTTGCTCCTCAGCTTGCAGACGGCCTATTATGGGAACTTGTGATCCTGTGAGTTTAATACACCGTAATAAACTCCCTTATATATATATATATATCCATATATATATGGATATATATATGGATATATATATGGATATATATGTGGATATATATATGGATATATATGTGTATATATATGGATATATATGTGGATATATATGGATATATATGTGGATATATATGTGCATATATATGGATATATATATGTGGATGTATATATGGATATATATATGTGGATGTATATATGGATATATATGGATGTATATATGGATATATATGGATGTATATATGGATATATATGGATAGATATATATGGATATATATGGATAGATATATATGGATAGATATATGGATATATATGGATATATATATGGATATATATGGATATATATATGGATATATATGGAGAGATATATATGGATATATATGGAGATATGTATATGGATATATATGGATATATATATGGATATATATGGATATATATGGATATATATATGGATATATATATGGATATATATGGATATATATATGGATATATATATGGATATATATGGATATATATATGGATATATATATGGATATATATGGATATATATAAGGATTATATATAATATATGGATATATAAGGATATATATTATATATGGATCTATATAAGGATCTATATTATATATATGGATACATATAAGGATATATATTATATATAATGGATATATATATTATATATGGATATATATAATGGATATATATATTATATATATGGATATATATAAGGATATATATTATATATGGACATATATATTATATATGATATATAAGGATATATATTATATATATGGATATATATAAGGATATATATTATATATATGGATATGTTTATGGATATATATATAATATATATCCTATTAGTTCTTTCTCTCTAGAGAACCCTGACTAATACAGGCAGTTTTTTGTTTTGTTTTGTTTTGTTCTGTTCTTTGTTTGTTTGTTTGTTTTTGTTTTTTTTTAAGACAGAGCCTCGCTCTGTGGCCCAGACTGGAGTGCAGTGGCATGATCTCAGCTCACTGCAACCTCTGCTGCCTGGGTTCAAGTGATTCTCCTGCCTCAGCCTCCCGAGTAGCTGGGATTACAGGTGCCTGCCACTGTGCCTGGCTAATTTTTTTAGTTTTTTGTTATTGTTGTTGCTGTTGTTGTTGTTGTTGTTGTTGTTGTTGTTGTTGTTGTTTTTGAGACAGAGTCTCGCTGTGTTGCCCAGGCTGGAGTGCAGTGGTGTGATCTCGGCTTACTGCAACCTCTGCCTCCTGGGTTCAAGCAATTCTTCTGCCTCAGCCTCCTGAGTAGCTGGGACTACTACAGGTACGTGCCACCACACCTGGCTAATATTTTTTGTATTTTTAGTAGAGGCGTGGTTTCACCATATTGGCCAGGCTGGTCTCAAACTCCTGACCTCATGATCCACCTGCCTTGGCCTCCCAAAGTACTGGGATTACAGGCATGAGCCACCACACCCGGTCTAATACTTTTTTAGTAGAGACGGAGTTTCACCATTTTGTCCAGGCTGGTGTTGAATTTCTGACCTCGTGATCCACTCCCCTGGGCCTCCCAAAGTGTTGGGATTACAGGCATGAGCCACCACACCCAGTCTAATTTTTTTTAGTAGAGATGGGGTTTCACCATCTTGTCCAGGCTAGTCTTGAACTCCTGACCTCGTGATCCACCCCCCTGGGCCTCCCAAAGTGTTGGGATTACAGGTGTGAGCCACCATGCCCAGCCAATACAGGCAGTTAGTGTTATTAGTGATTTCAAGTCACAAGGGTGGAAAATTGGACATGTTTGTTTGGAGAATCATAGCTAGACATTGGAGGAAAGTAGATTAATTCAGGTTTACACATCCAGTTTACAAGTAGATAATAAAACCTCAAAGACAATGAACAGGGCTAGTATTTGATATCCACACGTGCTATAGTTTTCTACTGAAACACGATTTTTCTCTCTACATTCACTCTCATTTCTGCCAAAGACAATGACAATAAGACTAATTTCTTTCCAAAATAAGTTTAGTCTCATTAAACTTGCTTGATTGTTTACATAAGTGCAGCAAGAATAGTGGTTGATTTTATAGGCTTTCCTTAGGTCTGCTTTGTTGAAACTCTAAAAATTTTACACTTTTAAAAACCTCTGAAGGCTAGGAAGCCAAGCAAATGACTGGCCATCAGAATTTGACTGCAGTACTTATATATTTGGGTGAATTCCTCTCTTCTTGAGGTCCCCAAAGTATCTGCAGTTTCCTTAGCCTACCAGGAAGTGACCATTTTTACTCACCTGTAGGGCCAGAAACCATTGAAAGCCATTTATCAGGCTGGTTTTTCTTTTTTTAATTTTTTTAAAATTTACATTAAGTTCCAGGATACATGTGCAGAATGTGCAGGTTTGTTACATAGGTATACATGTGCCATGGTGGTTTGCTGCACCTAGAGGCTAGTTTTTCTAAGGGGCTTTATAAACATTAGTTCCTTAAAGTCAACTGTTGCAGGAAGTCAGGGACCCCAAATGGAGGGACCAGCTGGAGCCACAGCAGAGGAACATAAATTGTGAAGATTTCATGGATATTTATCAGTTCCCAAAATTAATACTTTTATAATTTCTTACTCTTGTCTTTACTGCAATCCCTGAACATAAATTGTGAAGATTTCATTTTAATATGGACATTTATCAGTTCCCAAAATTAATATTTTTATAATTTCTTATGCCTGTCTTTAATCTCTTAATCCTGTTATATTCATAAACTGAGAATGTACATCACCTCAGGACCACTATTGTGTTAAACTGTAAAAATTGATTGTAAAACGTGTGTTTGAACAATATGAAATCAGTGCATCTTGAAAAAGAACAGAATAACAGTGATTTTCAGGGAAGAAGGGAAGACAACCATAAGGTCTGACTGCCTGCAGGGTCGGGCAGAATAGAGCCATATTTTTCTTCTTGCAGAGAGCCTATAAATGGATGTGAAAGTAGAGAAGATATCACTGAATTCTTTTCCTAGCAAGGAATATTAATAATTAAGACCCTGGGAAAGGAATGCATTCCTGGGGGGAGGTCTATAAACGGCCGCTCTGGGAGTGTCTGTCTTATGAGGTTGAGATAAGGACTGAAATACACCCTGGTCTCCTGCAGTACCCTCAGGCTTATTAGGTTGGGGAAGAAACCCCACCCTGGTAAATTTGAGGTCAGACCAGTTCTCTGCTCTCAAACCCTGTTTTCTGTTGTTTAAGATGTTTATCAAGACAACACGTGTATAGCTGAACATAGACCCTTATCAGGAGTTTTTTATTTCACCCTTTGCCTTGTGATCTTGCTTTGCCCTTTGACTTGTGATCTTTATTGGCCTTAGAAGCTTATGATCTTTGTTCTCTTTTTGCCCTTTGAAGCATGTGATCTTTGTGACCTACTCCCTGTTTGTACAACCCCTCCCCTTTTAAAATCCTTAATAAAACCTGCTGGTTTTGTGGCTCAGGGGGGCATTATGGTCCTACTGATATGTGATGTCACCCCCGGAAGCCTAGCTGTAAAATTCCTCTCTTTGTACTCTTTCTTTTTCTCAGCCAGCCAATGCTTAGGGAAAATAGAAAGAACCTACGTTGAAATATTGGGGGCGAGTTCCCCAGATAGTCAACTTTAGTTCTTTAAAACTGGTCATATCTGAAAATATAATATTCCACTCAAGGCTGGGTGCAGTGGCTCATTCCTGTAATTCCAGCACTTTGGGAGGCCAAGGCTGGAGGATTACTTGAGCCTAGGAATTCAAGAACAGCCTGAGCAATGTGGCAAAACACCATCTCTACAAAAGAAAAGTACAAAAAAAATTTAGCCAGGCATGGTGATGCACACCTGTGGGCCAGCTACTCAGGAGGCTTAGGCAGAGGGATCACTTGAGCCCAGGTGGTCAAGGCTGCAGTGAGCAAAGATCACACCACTGCACTCCAGCCTGGGTGACAGAGCAAGACCCTGAATCAAAAAAAATAATAATAATACAGTCAAAGCCTTGGTAAGATAACTAATGTTTCCAATTTTGTCTTGTTACGAGGAGAACAGATTCTTATTAAACTCATGCAAATAAGTATATTGCCATGAAAATAAGAATATTCACTATAGGCCAGGCATGGTGGCTCACGTCTGTAATCCCAGCACTTTGGGAGGCCAAGGTGGGCGGATCACGAGGTCAGGAGATCAAGAACATCCTGTCTAACACGGTGAAACCCCATCTCTACTAAAAATACCAAAAAATTAGCCGGAGGTGGTGGCGGGCACCTGTAGTCCCAGCTACTCAGGAGGCTGAGGCAGGAGAATCGCTTGAACCCAGGAGGCAGAGGTTGCAGTGAGCTGACATTGTGCCACTGCACTCCAGCATGGGCAACAGAGCAAGACTCTGTCTTAAATAAAAAAAGGATACTCACTAATACTTTCTGAATTCTGGAGGAATCAGTCAGAGAGAAAAGCAAGTATTTCAATTCCGTTTACAAAAGTACTTTACTAAATTGCTATAAGCTATAGACAGGTTAAGAGAAAAAGGCTTCCTTAAATCTGGAAAACAAAATATTAAAGAACAGGCAATGTTTCAAATAGAAAATCAAAAAAACTATAATCATCCTTATCAGTTTTTTCTGTCCCATGTAATTAACTCTTGTTCTGCTTGATCTTGGGTTAAGTTTCATGAACCCATCAGTTTCTTCATTAGTGCTACAGAAATTCTTACCCAGGCCAGTGGTATGATCCCAAGTTTTCAAAAGTTTGTTTGTATTTTAGAGTACTTTCCAGAGTCTTTTTCATAAATTATCTTTGAAGATGAAGTAATCTTATTATATCTCAGCTCCTTACAAAAGCTTCCAGGAAAGCATCAGAGTAAAACAATAACCAAACTTTATACATTTTTGACACACTTATTATATATATGGGTTTATCATCACTTATTCAACATGCTTCCATGCAATTTAATGTATCAGATACTGCTAATCAGTTAAACATCTTTCTTTTTTCTTTCTCTCTCTCTCTCTTTTTTTTTTTTTGAGAAAGAGTCTTACTCTGTTGCACAGCCTAGAGTGCATTGTGCAATCTTAGCTCACTGCAGCCTCAAACTCCAGGGCTCAAGGGATCCTCTTGCTTCAGCCTCCTAGTAGCTAGAACTAAAGGCATGTACCATCCCACCTGGCTAGTTTTAAAATAATTTTTTGTAGAGACAGTGTCTGGCTAAGTTGCCCAGGCTGATTTTGAACCCTGGCCTTAAGATATCCTCCTGCCTTGGCCTCCCAAAGTGCTGGGATTATAGGCATGGGCCACCACACCTGGCCTTCTTGCCTTGATAAGGAGAGAGAATGGATTCTTTTGAGATTTTTTTAGGAGCCCTCTGGGAATCCTCAAAGTTAGTTTGAGGTCAAAAGACCTCCATTTGATTTCAGGAAATTATCAATAAGATTTAAAATACTTAATTAGCCAGGCGCGGTGGCTCATGTCTGTAATCCCAGCACTTTGAGAGCCTGAGGGAAGAGGATCACTTGAGGCCTGGAGTTCAAGACCAGCCTGGACATCATAGAGAGACCCTATCTCTCCAAAAAATAAAAAAAATTAGCCGATCATGGTGGCATGTGCCTAGAGTCCCAGCTACTTGGGAGGATGAGGCAGGAGCATCGCTGGAGCCTGGAGTGCTGGGCCTGGAGCCCAGGAGTGGAGGATGCAGAGAGCTATGATCATGCCCCCGCACTCCAGCAGCCTTGGTAACAGGGAGAGGCCCTGTCTCTTTAAACAAACAAACAAAAAACCCACTTGATTATAGGATCATAGACCACAATGAGGCAATACCTGGTTATCTATTTAACCAAAACAACAATAAAAGATTTTCAAGGCAAATACAGAAGATTACACATTTGTGAACAAAACATAACTCTTAATATTGAGAAAATTCAGTTTTCTTAAGTAATCAAAGACCTTAGAAAAACAACATGAGGCACATGGCATTATTTTGATAAAATACAGGATGTTTCCTAGGCAAATTTACTTTTTTTTTTTTAAACGTAGAACACAAACTCTTTATTTAAAGGTGCATCTTAATTCCTCTTTGGTAAGCAAAAAAAATAAAATAAAGGAGCAGATCGTGGCACATCATTCCTGTGAGCCAAGTGGTCCACCCAAACATCCAAGACCCAGCAAAGCAGCCAAGTTCAGTGCGACCTCCGGGCCTCTCCACTTTCTCATTTGTTTGTTCATTTTTGAGACAGAGTCTCACTGTTGTCACCCAGGCTGGAGTGCAGTGGTGCGATCTCAGCTCACTGCAACCTCTGCCACCTGGGTTCAAGCAATTCTCCTGCCTCAGCCTCCCGAGAAGCTGGGATTACAGGCATGTGCCACCATGCCTGGCTAATTTTTGTATTTTTAGCAGAGATGGGGTTTCACCCTGTTGGCCAGGCGTGTCTCAAACTCCTGACCTCAGGTGATCCGCCCACCTCGGCCTCCCCAAATGCTGGCATTACAGGCGTGAGCCACCACGCCCAGCCACCTCTTCACTTTGACTCCAACAGGGTGAGCACGTCATTCTTGCACACAGGGCCTTTGACATTGTGGATAATGGAGTGGCTCCTGTTGTCCACAAATTCCATGTCCATCCCCATACACTGTCCCTGAGAGCTGGTCATGCCCAGTACCATGGTGCCCCAGGCTCGCTTGATATGCCGCACATGGCTGGTGTCCATGATGGTGGCGCAGCAGGGGTTGGGTGGAGGCAGATCTCTTTTTGGTTGTTTGTTTTTGAGACAGAGTCTCGCTCTGTCACCCAGGCTGGAGTACAGTGGCATGATCTCAGCTCACTGCAACCTCTACCTCCTGGGTTCAAGCAATTCTCTTGCCTCAGCCTCTGGAGTAGCTGGGACTACAAGTGCCTGCCAACACACCCAGCAAATTTTTGTATTTTTAGTAGAGACAGGGTTTCACCATGTTGGTCTGGCTGTTCTCGAACTCCTGACCTCAGGTGATCCACCCGAGGCAGATTTCTTAAAGATAAGGAAAAACTGGCTGGGTGCAGTGGCTCACACCTGTAATCTCAACACTTTAGGAGGCCAAGGCAGGGGAATCGCTTGAGCCCAGGACTTTGAGACCAGTATGGGCAACATAGCAAAACCTCATCTCTATAAAAATTTTAAAAATTAGCCTGTGGAAGCTAAGCTATGAGGACGCAAAGGCATAAGAATGATGTAATGGACTTTGGGGACTAGGAGGAAGGGTGGGAGGGTGGGATGGGGGTGAGGGATAATAAAACTACACACTGGGCATGGTACACTGTTCAGGTAATGGGTGCACCAAAATCTCAGAAATCACCACAGAAGAACTTATCCATGTAACCAAACACCACTTGTTCCCAAAAACTATTGAAATTATATATATATATATATATATATATATATATATATATATATATATAAGCCTGGAGTAGTAGTTCATGCCTGTAGTCCTAGCTACTCAGAAGGCTGAGGCTGGTGGATCCATTGAGCCCAGGAGGTGGAGGCCATGATCCTGCCACTGCACTCCAGCCTGGGAAACAGAGTGACACCTTGTTTCAAAAAAAAAAATGGTAAGGAAAAACCTTTCATGATCACTTACCAAGAGCAGACCAACTCTCTAAGAAAACTTTGTCATTGCGCAGAGAGAAAAAACCAATTTCTAGTTTTATACAAGTGTACTATTAATAACAAAGCTGATTTTAATAAATCCTTATAAATAAATCCATCTAATCTCAGACAGCTTTGACCACACAAGATATCCTTTTCCAAGATTCCTTTTCTGCAAACCTTACATAATTTTTATAACGTATTCAGTTTTTGTCCTTTAGTCTCCTTTTTCATTCTGAAACAACCTGTCATTCCACTTTAGTACAGACCTACTTTTTTTTTTTTTTTTTTGAGACAGGGTCTTGTTCTGTCATCCAGGCTGAAATGTAGTGGCACAGTCAGAGCTCACTGCAACCTTGACTTCCTGTGCTCAATCTATCTACCTGCCTCAGCCTTCTGAGTAGCTAGCTGGGACTACAGGCACATGCCACCATGCCCAGCTAATCTTTACTTTTTTATTTTTTGGTACTTTTTGTAGAGACTACATTTCACCATGTTGTCCAGGCTGGTCTTGGATCCTGGGCTCAAGCAATTGCCCACCTTGGACTCCCAAAGTGGTGGGATTACAGGCATGAGCCACTGTGCCTGGCCCAGAGTTACATTAAAAAGAGAAATGTGGATGGGCTTCAGTGGCTCACACCTGTAATCCTAGCAGTTTGAGGGGCCAAGGCAAGAGGATCACTTGAGGCCAGGAGTTTGGAACCAGCCTGGGCAACATAGCGATATGTTCTATTCTTTTTTGAAAAAAAAAAAAAAATTTTAAGTTTAAAAAGGAAAAATAGGATTGATAGATCACTAGTTAGACTAATAAAAAAAGAGAGAGAAGATCCAAATAAACACAGAAATGACAACGGAGACATTAACATTTACCCTACGAAAAACAAAAGAACTTCGGAACAGCCAGATTTGTTAAATTTTAAAAAAAGAAAGCAATACAAAAAGCCCTCAAAAACTATTATGAACAACTTTGCACACAAACTAGAAAACCTAGAAGAAATGGATGCATTCCTTGAAACATACAATTTCCCAAGATTGAACTAGGAAGAAACTGAAACCCTTAACAAACCAACAAAGAAGAGCTGGTACCTATCCTACTGAAACTATCCCAAAAAAGAGAGGAGGAGGGACTCCTCTCTAACTCATTCTTTGAGACCAGCATCACTCTGATACCAAAACTTGGCAGAGACACAGCAAAAAAAGAAAACTTTAGGCCAAAATCACTGATGAACAAAAATCCTCAACAAAATACTAGCAAACTGAATCCAGCAGCACATCAAAAAGTTAATCCACCATAATCAAGTAGCCTTTATTCCTGGAATGCAAAGTTGTTTCAACACACACAAATCAACAAATGTAATTTGTGACGTAAACAGAGCTAAATACAAAAACCACACGATCATCTCAACAGACACAGAAAAGGCTTTCAATAAAATTCAACATCTCTTCATGTTAAAAACCCTCAACAAACTTGGCATTAGAGAAACATACATCAAAATAATAAGAGCCATCTATGACAAACCCACAGCCAACATCATACTGAACTGGCAAAAGCTGGAAGCGTTCCCCTTGAGAACTGGAACAAGCAAAAGATGCCCACTCTCATCATCCTATTCAGCATAGTACTGGAAGTCCTAGACAGAGCCATTAGACAAGAGAAAGAAATAAAAGGTACCCAAATAGGAAGAGAGGAAGTCAAACTATCTCTCTTCACAGATGATATGATTTTATACTTAGAAAACCCCATGGCCTCTGCCCAAAAGTTTCTAGATCTGATCGACAACTTCAACAAAGTTTCAGGATACAAAATCAATATACAAAAATCAGTAGCATTTCTATATACAAACAACGTCCAAGCTGAGAGCCAAATCAATAATGCAATCCCATTCACAATAGCCACACACACACGTACAAAATACCTAGGAATTCAGCTAACCGGGCAGTGAAAGATCTCTACAGTGATGGCCGGGCGCGGTGGCTCACGCTTGTAATCCCAGCACTTTGGAAGGCCGAGGCGGGCGGATCACGAGGTCAGGAGATAGAGACCACAGTGAAACCCCGTCTCTACCAAAAATACAAAAAATTAGCCGGGCGTGGTGGCGGGCGCCCGTAGTCCCAGCTACTCGGAGAGGCTGAGGCAGGAGAATGGCGTGAACCCGGGAGGCAGAGCTTGCAGTGAGCCGGGATTGCGCCACTGCACTACAGCCTGAGCGACAGGGTGAAGAGAATTACAAAACACTGCTGAAAGAAATCAGAGGTGACACAGACAAGTGAAAAAAATATTCCATGCTCATGGATAGGAAGAATCAATATTGTTAAAGTGGTCATACTGCCCAAAGTAATTTACAGATTCAATGCTCTTGCTATCAAACTACCAATGACATTTTTCACATAATTAGAAAACCTATTCTAAAATTCAAAAAAGAACACAAATAGCCAAAGCAATTCTAAGCAAAAAGAACAAAGCCAGAGGCATCACACTATCCAACTTCAAACTATCCTACAAGGCTAGTACGGTATCGGTACAAAAAGAGACACACAGACCAATGAAACAGGTTTGAGGACCCAGAAATAAAGTTGCACACCTACAATCATTTGATCTTTGACAAAGCTGACAAGAACAAGCAACAGGAAAAGGACTCCTTATTCAATAAATGGTGCAGGGATAACTGGCTGCCTTATACAGAAGATTGAACCTGGATCCCTTCCTTTTATCATACACAAAAATCAACTCAAGATAGATTAAAGGCTTAAATGTAAAACCATTCAAAGTAATGGCAAAACCACAGTTACTTTTGCACCAACCTAATGAAACTATAAAAACCCTAGAAGAAAACCTAGGAAGGCTGGGCACAGTGGCTCACACCCGTAATCACAGCACTTTGGGAGGCCAAGGCGGGCGGATCACCTGAGTTCGAGAGTTCGAGATCAGCCTGACCAACATGGAGAAACGCCCATCTCTACTAAGAATACAAAGTTAGCTGGGCATGGTGGCACATGCCTGTAATCACAGCTATTCAAGAGGCTGAGGCAGGAGAATTGCTTGCACCCGGGAGGCAAAGGTTGTGGTGAGCCAAGATCGCGCCATTGCACTCCAGCCTGGGCAACAAGAGCGAAACTTCAACTCAAAAAAAGGAAAAGAAAGGAAAAGAAAAGAAAAGAAAAGAAAACCTAGGAAATACCATTCTGGATATAGGTCATCGTCGATTTCAAGACAAAGACTCCAAAAGCAATTGCAATAGAAACAGAAATTGACAAATGGGACTTAATTAAACTAAAGAGCTTCTGCACAGCAAAAGAAACTATCAACAGAGTAAACGGACAACCCACGGAAGGAAAAAAAAATGCAAACCATGATCTGACAAAGTTCTAATATCCAGAACCTATAGGGAACTTAATTCGAAAAACAAAAACCAAATTAAACTGATTAAAAAATGGGTGTATTAGTTCATTCTCACACTCCTGTAAAGAACTACCTGAGACTGGGTAATTTATGAAGAAAAGAGGTTTAATTGACTCACAGTTCCACAGGCTGTACAGGAAGCATGGCTGGGATGCCTCAGGAAACTTATAATCATGGCAGAAGGTGAATGGGAAGCAAGAACAAGTTCCCATGGCGGAGCAGGAGACAGAGAGTGAAGGGGGAAGTGCCACACACTTTCAAACAACTTGATCTTGTGAGAACTTACTCACCATCATGAAAACAGCAAGGAGGAAATCTGCCCTGATGATCGAATGACCTCCTACCAGATCTCTCCCTCAACACAAAGGATTACAATTCAACATGAGATTTTGGCAGGGACATAGAACTGAGAGGTGACAGCATGCTGGCAGTCCTCACAGTCCTCGCTCGCTCTCGGCACCTCCTCTGCCTGGGCTCCCACTTTGGCGGCACTTGAGGAGCCCTTCAGCCTACCGCTGCACTATGGGAGCCCCTTTCTGGGCTGGCCAAGGCCTGAGCCCACTCCCTCAGCTTGCAGGAAGGTGTGGAGGGAGAGGCGCGAGCAGGAACCGGGGCTGTGTGCGTGCTTGCAGGCCAGCTGGAGTTCCGGGCGGGCATGGGCTTGGCGGGCCCCGCACTCGGAGCAGCCGGCCAGCCCTGCTGCCCCGGGCAATGAGGGACTTAGCACCCGGACCAGTGGCTGCGGAGGGTGTACTGGGTCCCCCAGCAGTGCCAGCCCACCGGCACTGCGCTCGATTTCTCACCGAGCCTTAGCTGCCTTTCTGCGGGGCAGGGCTCGGGACCTGCAGCCCGCCATGCCTGAGCCTCCCACCCACTCCATGGGCTCCTGTGCCGCCCGAGCCTCCCCGACTAGCACCACCCCCTGCTCCATGGCGCCCAGTCCCATCGACCACCCAAAGGCTGAGGAGTGCGAGCGCACCGCGCTGGACTGGCAGGCAGCTCCACCTGCAGCCCCGGTGGGGGATCCACTAGGTGAAGCCAGCTGGGGTCCTGAGTCTGGTGGGGAGGTGGAGAACCTTAGTATCTAGCGCAGGGATTGTAAACGCACCAATCAGCACCCTGACAAAACAGGCCACTCGGCTCTACCAATCAGCAGGATGTGGGTGGGGCCAGATAAGAGAATAAAAGCAGGCTGCCTGAGCCATTATTGGCAACCTGCTCAGGTGCCCTTCCACACTGTGGAAGTTTTGTTCTTTCGCTCTTTGCAATAAATCTTCCTACTGCTCACTCTTTGGGTTCACGCTGCTTTTATGAGCTGTAACACTCACCGCGAAGATCTGCAGTTTCACTCCTGAGCCCAGGGAGACCACGAGCCCACCAGGAGGAACGAACAACTCCAGACACGCTGACTTAAGAGCTGTAACACTCACCGCGAAGGTCTGCAGCTTCACTCCTGAGCCAGCGAGACCACGAACCCACCATAAGGAAGAAACTCCGAACACATCTGAACATCAGAAGGGACAGACTCCAGACGCGCCACGTTAAGAGATGTAATTCTCACCGCGAGGGTCTGCGGCTTCATTCTTGAAGTCAGTGAGACCAAGAACCCACCAATTCCGGGCACAGAATCAAACCATATCATTCCACTCCTGGCCCCTTCCAAATATCATGTTCTTCTCACATTTTAAAACATAATCATGCCTTCCCAACAGTCAACCAAAGCCTTAGCTAATTTTATCATTAACTCAAAAGTACAAGTCCAATGTCTCATCTGACATAAGGGAAGTTCTTTCTGCCTGTGAGCCTGTAAAATCAAAAACAAGTCTGTGGCCGGATGTAGTGGCTCATGCCTGTAATCCCAGAACCTGGGGAGGCTGAGGCGAGCAGATCACCTGAGAGCTGGAGTTCAAGACCAGCCTGGCCAACATAGTGAAACCCCGTCTCTACTAAAAATACAAAAATTAGCTGGGTGTGGTGGCACATGCCTGTAATCCCAGCTACTCAGGAGGCTGAGGCAGGAGAATCACTTGAACCTGAGAGGCAGAGGTTGCAGTGAGCCGAGATTGCGCCACTGCACTCCAGGCTGGGCGACAGAACAAAACTCCATCTCAAAAAAAACCAAACCAAAACAAAACAAAACAAGTTTGTTACTACTTAGATACAGTGGGGGTACAGGCATTGGGTAAATGCCTCTGTTCCAAAAGAGAGAGATTGACCAAAACAAAGGCATGACAGGCCCCATGCAAGTCTGAAGCTCAGCAGGGCAGTCATTAAATTTTAAAGCTCCAAAATAATCTCCTATGACTCCAAACAGGGAAAGACTCACTTCCAAGGGCATGCTGATGCAAAGAGTGGGCTCACAAAGCCTTGGGCAGCTCCTCCCCTGTGGCTCTGCAGGGTAAAGCCCCTGCAGCTGCTTTCATAGGTTAACATTGAGTGCCTGTGGCTTTTCTAGGTGCACAGTGGAAGCTGTCAGTGAATCTACCATTTTGAGGTCTAGAGGATGGTGGTTCTCTTCACACAACTCCACTAGGCAATGCCCCAGTGGGGACACTGTGGGAGCTACAACCCCACCTTTCCCATCCACACTGCCCTAGTAGAGGTTCTCCATGAGGGCTCTGCCCCTCCAGCAGACTCCTGTCTGGACATCCAGGCATTTCCATACCTTCTCTGAAATCTAGGCGAAGGGTCCCAAATCTCAACCCTTGCCTTCTGTGCACCCACAGGCCCAACATGACATGGAAGCATGGCTGGGAGGCCTCAGGAAATTTATTAATCATGGTGGAAGGCAACGGGGAAGCAAGCACATCTTACCATGGTGGAGCAGGAGAGAAAGAGTGAAGGGGGAAGTGCTACATACTCTCAAACAACCAGATCTCGTGAGAACTCACTCACCATCATGAGAACAGCAAGGGGGAGATCTGCCCGTGCAATCCAATCACCTCCCATCAGGTACTTCCTCCAACACAGGGGATTACAATTCAACATGAGATTTTGGTGGGAACACAGAGCCAAACCATATTAATGGGCAAAGAACATGACCAGACACTTCTCAAAAGAAGACATACACATGGCCAACAAGCATGTGAAAAAATGCTCATCATCACTAATCATTAGATAAATGCAAATCGGCTGGGCATAGTGGCTCACACCTGTAATCCAGCACTTCGGTAGGCTGAGGTGGGAGGATCACTTGAACCCAGGAGTTCAAGACCAGCCTGGGCAACATAGTGAGACCCCAACTCTAAAAAACAAAAACAAAAATGAGAAATGCAAGTCAAAACCACAAAGAGATACTACCAGTCAGAATGGCTATTATTAAAAAGTCAAAAAATAACAGATGCTGATGAGATTGCAGAGAAAAGGGAACACTGATTCACTGCTAGTGGGAATGTAAGTTAGCTTAACCACTGTGGAAAGTAGTTTGGAGATTTCTCAAAGAACTTAAAGCAGAACTACCAGCTGGATGCAGTGGCTCACACCTGTAATCCCATCACTTTGGGAGGCTGAGGTGGGAGAATCATTTGAGGCCAGGAGTTGGAGAGAAGCCTGGGTAACATACTAAGACTCCATCTCTACAGAAAATAAAAAATTAGCCAGGCATGTGGCATGCGTCTGTGGTCCCAGCTGTTGGGGAAGCTCAGGTAGAGGATCCCTTGAGCCTGGAAGGTTGAGCCTGCAGTGAGCTATGAGCGTGCCACTGTACTCTAGCCTGGGCCACAGAGCAAGACCCTGTCTCAGAAAAAAACAAAAAACAAAACAATAACAAAAATGAGGCTGGGTGCAGTGGCTCATGACTGTAATCCCAGCACTTTGGCAGGCCGAGGCAGGCAGATCACAAGGTCAGAAGATCGAGACCATCCTGGCTAACACAGTGAAACCCCATCTCCACTAAAAATACAAAAAATTAGCCGGGCATGGTGGTGGGCGCCAGTAGTCCCAGCTACTTGGGAGGCTGAGGCAGGAGAATGGCGTGAACCTGGGAGGCGGAGCTTGCAGTAAGCCAAGATCGCGCCACTGCACTCCAACCTGGGCAACAGAGCGAGACTCTGTCTCAAAAAAAAAGAAAGAAAAAAACCTCAGAACTATCATTTGACCCAGCAATCCTATTACTGCGTAAATACCCAAAGGAATATAAATTATTCTATCATAAAGACACATGCACGCGTATGTTCATCACAACACTATCAAAATAGCAAAGACATGAACTCAATCTAAATGCCTATTGATGGTCACTGGATAAAGAAAACATGGCAGATATACACCATGGAATACTACACAGCCATAAAAAAGAATGAAATAATGTTCTTTGCAGCAACATGGACAGAGCTGGAGGCCATTATTCTAAACAAATTAATACAGGAACAGAAAACCAAACACTGCAAGTTCTCACTTATAAGTGGGAGCTAAACACTGAGTACACATGGACACAAAGAAGGGAACAACAGACAAGGGGGCCTACTTGAAGGTGAAAGGTGGGAGGAAGGTGAGGATGGAGAAGCTATCTATCAGGAACTATGATTATTACCTGGGTAATGAAATAATTAATAAACCAAACCCCTGTGACATGCAATTTACCCATGTAACAAACCTGCACATGTATCCCTTGAACCTAAAATAAAATTTGGAAGCAAAAAAAAAAAAAAATCTTCAATGGAAACAAAGAAAGAGGGTGTGGGAAAGCCTGATTATGAGGAGGTGATCAGGAAAAGCATGGTAAATCAGGGTCATGTTTGTTATGCAGATTTACATTGGTGCCTTCTCCATTGATAAGAGTCTGTAGTGACTTAGAGTCATCTTTCTCTTTCTGGTATAAAGTGGGAGGAGAGACATGGTTACAAATGGAGACATGCTTGTGAATGGAAATTTCCTCTATAGATGTAAATTTCTCTTAGTGTGACTTCTGGGCCTTCATGGAGAAATACATTAAAAAGAAAGAAAAGTGTGACTTCTAGGTCTTCATGGAGAAATAAATAAATACATAAGAAAGAAAAGTATGACTTCTGCTCTTGTTTTCTAAGCTTCTCCTGTAGCTGCAGTCTCTCAAAATAATGAGCTCAAAATAATCCTTATGCCAAAGGCTTCTGCCATTTTTCAGTATGCCAAGGTGACATATTTTGGGGTAGCATGTCCTGAACCCCATCACCTTGAAACTCCCTCAATGTACAATAAAATAAGTATGCATTATTTTCACTTTATTCTAACTTCATGTTAAATTAAGTTTAGCCTAAAAGTGCCTTCTTACATATTTTAAGCTCAGCTTAAAGTTTTCTCTGTACACAGTGAACTGTAACTGAACTGGAAGTGTAAACAGACTAACCTACTCTTGTGCCAATCACAGAGTTTTGGCTAGTCACAGACAGCTAACTGTTCAAACCATGTTCAAATAAGGCAAACACCAAGCTGTAACCAATCTAGCTGTTTCTATACCTCATGTTTCTCTGTACCTCATTTTCCTTTTTCTGTCCATAAATATTATCTGGCCATGTGGCAGCCCTGAAGTTGCCCTGAACCTATCCTGGTTCAGAGACCTGACCAATACTCAAATCATTCTTTGCTCAGTCAAACTCTGTTAAATTTAATTTTCTTAAGTTTTTCTTTTAACATTCATCACACAGCTAGAGTTAATTCACTCCCATTGAAAAACCTAGCCCCAGATCAGGACCAGAGACCAATCTTGTCCTTTAATGTGAAGAACTGAAGGCAATATAATTCAGTAGCTCAAGTGACACTTTAGCTGCTAGTCTGGCTTTGCCCTGTTCTTTCAGGACTTGGGTTACTCTGCTTTATTCTCACTATTAACGGTAACCCCACAGTTCAAAGTACCTAAATTTCAGGTCCTGTTTTCAGACCTCTCGTACATTGACTGTCCGCTTTGCCTAAACAGCTCTCTCAACAATGCCTTTGCTCATATTTCTTTTCTCTGTCTATGCCATACACATGGTGGAAAGGTGTCAAATGTTAAATCCTGTTTTTCTTATGTATTTAGAACTATTCAGCTTTTAAATTTCTTCTTTCATCAGTCTTAGTAATTTTTAAAATCAAGTAATTTGTCCTTCTGATCTAATTGTCACATTTTATTGGGATGCAGTTATTCATAATATTTTATTTTTTAAAGGCATGTAGGATATATAGTGTGAAAATAAAATTTAGAAGCTGCTGGAACTCCAAAAACACTTCAAGACTTGAGAGAGACATGGCCGATCCGAGTCATGTAGCATGGAGTTGTAACTTCTGCTTCTTATAGATTAGGCCAGGTGTGGTGCTCACTCCTGTAATCCCAGCATTTTGGGAGGCCAAGGCGGGTGGATCACCTGAGGTCAGGAGTTCAAGACTAGCCTGGCCAACATGATGAAACCCTGTCTCTAATAAAAATACAAAAATTAGTAGGGCATGATCATGGGCACCTGTAATCCCAGCTACTCGGGAAGCTGAGGCAGCAGAATCGCTTGAACCTGGGAGGTAGAGGTTGCAGTGAGCCGAGATCGTGCCACTGCACTCCAGTCTGGGCAACAGAGTGAGACTCTGTCTCAATAAAATAAAATAAAATAATAAAATAAAATAATATTATATTATAGATTGAGTCTCTTTCTCATGCTTCTTGTTCTGTAAATGACTAGGAAAGACCAGAGACCAGACAACTTCCCCTTCAAATCAATGACCTTCGTCATAGGTTAACCGCCTCCTTTATTGTCCTGTACCTAATTCAGAACAGATGGCACAAAAGACCCCATGACTGTTTCATCTTCTGTGTGGAATGTTAAACATACCTTTCTTGAAAGAAAAAGCCCACTTCGATCAAATTATTGTAACTATGCATTAACCCTTACATAAAAGATGTTGAAATTCTATTAAGCTTCCCTAAACCTTGTCTATATAAATAATCCCAAACTTCTACACTTTGGAATACTGTCTTCCATTATTTGGAATCTGTGCTTCCTGGATGTCTATTCTCAAACTCTGTATTTAATCATATTTTCTGAATCTTGTTATTTAAAGTTGACAATATCAATGTCCACTTTTTATTTCAGTTATTTATAATTTTTGCTTTTGAGAAAGAAAAGTGGCTCAGCACAGTCTAAGGAATGTGAAATATTCAAAATTTATCAGGCCCACAGAGACATGAACACCAGGCTTCAATCATATCCCCTGCAGCCATGCCTGGAGGTAATTGTTTTGTTTTCCTAAAATGTTACCACAAATAGCACAATGTAACCCCAACTTATTATCTTCATGTTCCTGGGTTTTGTGATACAAGAACAATGTATCATAAGCCAATCAATAGCTTACTTATTTTAGAGAACCAATGTTAATTCTTGGTAAACACTTTAGGGACTGCACTCTAACTTCTCTTTTTTCCTGTATAAACCCACTTGTAACTGCTGCTAATTAAAGCATATATTCAGGGTAACATTAATCTCGGATTCCCTGGCCGTAGTCCTCAACCTTAGCCAAAATAAACTTTCTAGTTACATTAATTTTGGCTTCAGTTTCTTTAAAAAAAAATACACTATTGATATGGAGGCTCAGATAACTGACAATCTTTTTTTTTCTTTCTTTGTCTTTTCTTTCTTTTTTTTTTTTCTTTTGAGACAAGGTCTCACCCGGTCATCCAGGCTGGAGGGCAGTGGCATGATCTCTGCTTACTGCAGCCTTGAGCTCCTGGGCTCAAGCCACCCTCCCACCTCAGTTACCTGAGTAGCTGGAACTACAGGTGCATGCCACCGTGGCTAATTATTATTATTATTTTTTGTAAAGACAGGGCCCATATGTTGCCCAGACTAACCTTTGATTTTTAATATTATATTGAAAGCTATATTTTCCCTCTGAGCACTATTTTAGCTGTATTTCACAAATTTTGTTATGTTATATTTTTGTCACGTTTCATTCAAAATAGTTTAAAATGTCCATTATGTTTTCTTCTTTAATCTACCTGTTTTTTGAATGTATTTTGCTCAATTTCCAAGCATTTGGGGATTTTTGATTCATCTAATTTCTCCTCAAAACAGTTTGGTAATCTACATGGTGCAAGTTAGCAAAGATCAGAACTGTGACTATTATCTTTCCCTTGTTTGTTGGTAAAAGCATGAATAGCTTTTTTTTTTTTTTTTTTTTTGATGGAGTCTTGCTGTGTCACCAGGCTGGAGTTCAGTGGCATGATCTTGACTCACTGCAACCTCCGCCTCCCGGGTTCAAGCGATTCTCCTGCCTCAGCCTCCCAAGTAGCTGGGATTACAGGTGCACACCACCACACCTGGCTAATTTTTGTATTTTTAGTAGAGATGGGGTTGGCCAGGATGGTCTCGATCTCCTGACCTCGTGATCTGCACGCCTCGGCCTCCCAAAGTGCTGGGATTACAGGGGTAAGCCACCACACCTGGCCAAATAGCCTTTTTTTTTTTTTAAATGCTTTATATTTAGATGAATTAAATTTTTTTCAGTCTTTTATTGCTTTTGTCTTTCATATATTATTTTAAAAAAACTTCTTAAGAAGAATAAATTAAGGTTAACCTAAATTTAAAATAGAATTATCAGCTGAGTGCAGTGGCTCACACCTGTAATCCCAGCACTTTGGGAGCCAGAGGCAGGCAGATCACCTGAGGTCAGGAGTTTGAGACCATCCTGGCCAACATGGTGAAGCCCCACCTCTACTAAGAATTCACAAATTAGCCAGGTGTGGTGGCGTGCGCCTGTAATCCCAGCTACTTGGGAGGCTGAGGCAGGAGAATCACTTGAACACGAGAGGCGGAGGTTGCAGTAAGCCAAGATTATGCCACTGCATTCCAGCCTGGGTGACAGAGCAAGACTTCATCTCAAATAATAATAATAGTAACAACAACATAGAATTATCCTTTCCTTCTATTTTTAGGGTATTATTTCTTTATACTTATAAAAAAAGTTTTTAAGTTTTTATATTTAGATGAATTAAAAATTTTCAGTATTTTATTGCTTTTGCCTTTCATGTATTGTTTAAAAAGACCTTCTTAAGATGAATAAATTAAGGTTAACCTAAATTTTAAATAGAATTATCCTTTTCTTCTATTTCTAGGGTTTTATTTCTTTATACTTATAAAAACTTAAATGTTTTTAAGTTTTTATATTTAGATGAATTAAAAATTTTCAGTATTTTATTGCTTTTGCCTTTCATGTATTGTTTAAAAAGACCTTCTTAAGACGAATAAATTAAGGTTAACCTAAATTTTAAATAGAATTATCCTTTTCTTCTATTTCTAGGGTTTTATTTCTTTATACTACTTTTTTTTTCGAGATGGAGTTTCACTGTTGTTGCCCAGGTTGGAGTGCAATGGCGCAATCTCACCACAACCTCTGCCTCCCGGGTTCAAGTGATTCTTCTGGCTCAGCCTCCTGAGTAGCTGGGATTACAGGCATGCGCCACCATGCCCAGCTAATTTTGTATTTTTAGTAGAGATGGGGCTTCTCCATGTTGGTCAGGCTGGTCTCGAGGTCTCGAACTCCCGACCTCAGGTGATCTGCCTGCCTCAGCCTCCTGAAGTGCTGGGATTACAGGCGTGAGCCACCACGCCCAGTTTATCTTTTTTTTTAAATTTTATTTCTCCGTAAGTTATTGGGGTACAGGTGGTATTTGGTTACATGAGTAAGTTCTTTCGTGGAGATTTGTGAGAATCTGGTGCACCCATCACCCAAGCAGTATACACTGCACCGTATTTGTTGTCTTTTTTATGAGTAACCTTTTGACTCTGCATTAAGAAACCCTTTCTGCTCTCTGTGTAGCATGTGTCATATCTGGCAGGCACTCTGCAAGAATCCCACTGTGCTCCCATCTGTTATACTTCCATATAACTTCAGGCATAGAGCTCAAAAACAATTTTCTAAAGAGATTTTTATTTCTATTTTGTTAATAAATACAACAGGGAAAGAAAAAGAATATGCTTACTTATCTTCATAATTCCTTGAATAGAGAAATGTTTAACATTATCATTTATTTTATTTTTTAACTTTTTAGGTTTGGGGGTCCCTGTGAAGGTTTGTTACATAGGTAAACTCATGTCACAGGGGTTTGTTGTACAGATTGTTTCATCACTCGGGTATTAAGCCCAGTACCCAATGCTTATCTTTTCTGCTCCTCTCCCTCCTCCCAGATTCCACCCTCAAGTAGATCACAGTGTCTGCTTCCTTCTTTGTGTTCATAAGTTCTCATCATTTAGCTCCCACTTACAAGTGAGAAAATGTGGTATTTGGTTTTCTGTTCCTGCATTAGTTTGCTAGGAATAATGGCCTCCAGCTCCATCCATGTTCCCACAAAATACATGATCTTTTTCTTTTTTATGGCTACAAAACATTCTAGTTTTTGAACTGAAGTATTATTATGGCTGGGTGCGGTGGCTCATGCCTATAATCCCAGCACTTTCAGAGGCCAAGGCAGGCGGATCAGTTGAGGTCAGGAGTTTTGAGACTAGCCTGGCAGACATGGTGAAACCTAGTCTCTACTAAAATACAAAATTAGAGAGAAACCCCATCTGTACTAAAAATACAAAAGATCCCAGCTCTTTGGGAGGCTCACACCTGTGATCCCACCACTTTGGGTGGCAGATGCCTGTAATTCCAGCTACTCAGGAGGCTGAGGCTGAAGAATCACTTGAACGTGGGAGGCAGAGGTTGCAGTGAGCTGGAGCACCACTGTACTCCAGCCTGGGCAACAGAAGGAGACTCCGTCTCAAAAAAAAAACCAAAAAACCTATTATTATACTTTCTGTAAGAAAATCAGAGACTAATTGCTTTTCATCCTCAGAAGAAAGCTTGTTCTAGGATGGAAACATAACACAGGTCACAGAGTTAAAGGGCTCACCAAAAGAACCTCAAATGAACAGGCTAACAGGAAAATTAAGAGTTTTTGTTTGTTTGTTTTTTAACTAGAGTTCTTATTTTAAAAGTGTCATTCTCTAGGAGACTTTGGATGCGTCTAGATCTTCTTGCCAAATCTTCAATTCTGTACAACAAATTCCTTCCTGATGTCCCGTTGAAGGAAATTATCTGAGGATAAGATCAGTCTGGATCATCTGGCAGTATCTTCTATTAGAGCGAAAGAAAGATGCCATCCCAGGGCTAAAAGAATTTAACTTTCATATTATAAAAGTGAAAGTTCATTTTTCAAGTGCGACACTGACATCTACTGGAAGAAATACTTGAGTAATTTACCAAATAAACGAAACATTTTTGTTTTTGTCAATTAGAAAAACAAAAAGTCTTTTTTGTTTGTTTGTTTTTGAGACAGAGTCTCTCTCTGTCGCCCAGGCTGGAGTGCAGTGGCTCACTGCCAGCTCTGCCTCCCAGGTTCACGCCATTCTCCTGCCTCAACCTCCAGAGTAGCTGGGACTACAGGTGCCCGCCACCACGCCCGGCTAAATTTTTTTGTTTTGTTTTGTTTTTTTAGTAGAGACGGGGTTTCACTGTGTTGCCCAGGATGGTCTCGATCTGACCTCGTGATCCACTTGCCTCAGCCTCCCAAAGTGCTGGGATTATAGGCATGAGCCACCGCGCCCGGCCAAAAAAAAAAAAAAAAAGTTTTAAAACATTTATTGGCAGGGTGCTGTGGCTCATGCCTGTAATCCCAGCACTTTGAGAGACTTAGGCGGGCAGATCACTTGAGGTCAGGAGTTCAAGATCAGCCTGGCCAACATGGCAAAACCCCGTCTCTACTAAAAATACGAAAATTAGCCAGGCATGGTGGTGCATGCCTGTAATCCCAGCTACTTGGGAGGCTGAGACAGAAGAATTGCTTGAACCCGGGAGGTGGAGGTTGCAGTGAGCAGAGATTGCGCCACTGCACTCCAGGCTGGATGACAGAGCGAAAGTCTGTCTCATAAAAACAAAACAAAACAAAGCACATTTGTCCTTTAAGTGTTTGTTTCCTAAATACAGGTCAGTGCCATTGATAGAAAAGGTTTCCAGCATCTATATTTAGAAAATGTTCTTGGTGACTTGTGTGAGCAGGACCCTGGGACCCATGAAGAGTTGTTCAGCAGGATATCGGGTCATCTCTGGCATCCACAGAACCCATTTGGACAAGCGAACAAGGCCTGTTCCTACCCACCTTTTTTCCCTCCATTAGAACTCTCATGAATTGTTTTGACAGTAGCCATACAGATGGGTGTTGCTCTAATCATACCTCTTAAACATGCTTGGAGATAATAGTGAAATAATATCTCTTAGACCCCAGGGTAGAGTCCAGAAAATAGGAGAAGGAGATTAAAGTAAGGTTTTCAGGCCAGGTGTGGTGGCTCATGCCTGTAATCTCAGCACTTTGGGAGACCAAGGCAGGTGGATCACTTGAGGTCAGGAGTTTGAGACTAGGCTGGCCAACATGGTGAAACCCCGTGTCTACTAAAAATACAAAAATTAGCTGGGTATGGTGGTACATGCCTGTAGTACTAGCTACTCGAGAGGCTGAGGCAGGAGGGTTGCTTGAGCCTAGGAGGCGGAGGTTGTAGTGAGCCGAGACCATACCACTGCATTCCAGCCTGGGAGACAGGAGAGAAATACTGTCTCAAAAAAAAAAAAGAAAAAAAAAAAAACAAGTTAAGGTTTCTAGATAAGACGTATGCAAGAAAGCTAGATGCAGAGGGTCACACCTGTAATTCTTGCACTTTGGGAGGACAGGGTGGGAAGATTGTTTGAGTTTAGGAGTTTGAGACGATCCTGGGCAACATAGTGAGACCTTATCTCTAGTTGAAAAAACAAACAACCAAAAAAACAGCTGAGCGTGGTGGTGTGCACCCATAGTCACAGATACTTAGGAGGCTGAGATGGGATGACTGCTTGAGCCCAGGAGATGGAGGCTGCAGTGAGCTGCACTTTATCCTGGGTGACAGAGCAAGACCTTGCCTCAAAAAATATAGATGCAAGAAAAGAGGTGTTTAATATGCTAACCTAGATCAAATAAAACAAATATATTGAATATATCTAGCCACTGAATAAGTTCTGAATTGTTCTTTGTTCTTTTTCAAGTTTAGTTTTGCTAAGAAGTCCTAGCAAATTGCCCTGTCCCTCTGTGGAATACATGACTGGTTCTAATGTTTAGAAGAATCCTGATGGCTAGAAAAATCTCTCACTTCTTCAGTGTCTACTATGAGCAAGGTATTGTGCTAAGATTTTGCATGCATTAATTCATACTGTGTTTCACACATACAATCCTGATGTGTAGAAATTATTACATCTGGCTGGGCGTGGTGGCTCACACCTGTAATCCCATCGCTTTGGGAGGCCAAGGCGGGTGGATCACTTGTGGTCAGGAGTTCGAGACCAGGCTGGCCAACATGGCGAAACCCCGTCTCTACTGAAAATACAAAAATTAGCCGGGTGTGGTGGCGCATGCCTGTAATCCCAGCTACTCAGAAGGCTGAGACAGGAGAATTGCTTGAACCCAAGAGGTGGAGGTTGCAGTGAGCAGGTTGCATCTGTTTTTATAGATAAGAAATTAGGCTCCAAACAAGTTGAATAACTTGTCAACATCAAATGGTTAAGTAGCAGAGTCAGAGACCAAATCTCAATTATTATTATTATTTTTTTGAGACTGAGTCTCACTCTCTCACCCAAGCTGGAGTGCAGTGGTGTGATCTTGGCTCACTGCAACCTCCGCCCCCTGGGTTCAAGCAATTCTCCTGCCTCAGCCTCCCTAGTAGCTGGCATTACGGGCACACGCCACCATGCCCAGCTAATTTTTTGTATTTTTACAGGGTTTCACCATGTTGACCAGGCTGGTCTCAAACTCCTGGCCTCAGGTGATCTGCCCACCTCAGCCTCTCAAAGTGCATGAGCCACCACGTCCAGCCTATTTCTTTTCCTTTTTCTTTTCTTTTCTTTTTTTTTTTTTTTTGAGATGAAGTCTTACTCTGTTACCTAGGCTGGAGTGCAGTGGCACGAGGTTGGCTCACTGCAACCTCCACCTCCTGGGTTCAAGCGATTCTTCTGCCTCAGCCTCCCGAGTAGCTGGGACTAGAGGCGCACGCCACCACACCCGGCTAATTTTTTGTATCTTTAGTAGAGATAGGGTTTCACCATATTGGCCATGCTGGTCTCCAACTCCTGACCTCGTGATCTGCCTTCCTCGGCCTCCCAAAGTGCCTATTTCTTTTTTAAAATGGGTCTCGCTATGTTGCCCAGGCTGGAGCATAATGCCAATTTACAGCTGTAATCATAGTGCTCTGCAGCCTTGAAATCTGAGTTATATCTTTTCTAAGGCCCATTATCTTTTTTGTATATATATTGCCTCCTGCCGTACAACTAGAAGAAAAAAAAAGGCAAGGTATTCTTCCTTATTTGTGTCTAGAAGACTGATAAAGCATTTTTATTATTTTCTTAAAATTGGAAAACATATATCTTCCCATGCTTTGTACTACCAAATTTAATACGTTATACATTTTCAACTTCAGGAGAGATTCTGAATGATTCTTCTTTATCAAACCTTTTAAAATCTCATCAAAACAAAAATTTTTTTTTGAGGCAGAGTCTTGCTCTGTTGCCCAGGCTGGAGTGCAGCGGCGAGATCTCGTCTTACTGTAACCTCTGCTTCCCGGGTTCAAGCGATTCTCCTGCCTCAGCCTCCCAAGTAGCTGGGAACAGGTGTGTGCCACCATGCCCAGCTAATATTTGTATTTTTAGTAGAGATGGGGTTTCACCATGTTGACCAGGCTGGTCTCAAATTCTTGACCTTGTGATCTGCCTGCAGTGGACTCCCAAAGTGCTCAGATTACAGGTGTGAGCAATTGTGCCTGGCCAAATATCATCAACATTTGATTTATATTAGCAGAGAGGTAAGAGAATGGCCACTGGAACCAAATGCCTGGATTTGAATCCTGGCTTGCTACTTATTAGCTGCACAACCTTGGACAGATTTTGATATTTACTAAAATGTTTAGAACATTTCCAACATTCTAACAATTTCCTCTGTACTCATTTATGGTTAATCCCCACTCCTATCCTCACCCTAGACTGCCACAGATCTGCTTTCTGTTTCTATAAATTTGCCTTTTCTAAACATTTAATGTAATGCAATTATAAAATAAGTAGTCTTTCTGTTTGATTTCTTCCACAGAGCATGAGGTGTTTGATGTTCATCCACATTGTGTTAATAGTTTGTTCTCTTTAATTGTATTCTGTAGACATGCAGTATTGTATGACCCATTCACCATCGGATGGACTTTTGGGTTGTTTCCACTTCTTGGCTATTATGAATCACACTGCTGTGAACATTCACGTTGCTGGGCACAGTGGCTCATGCTTGTAATCTCAGCATTTTGGGAGGCCAAAGTGAGAGGATTACTTACTTTGTAATCCAGGAGTTTGAGACCACCCTGGGCAACAAAGTGAGACCCCCATCTGTATTAGTTCTCTAGAGGGACAGAACTAATAGGGTGTGTATGTATGTGTATATATGTATATATATAAAGGGGAGTTTATTAAGTATTAACTATTAAGTATTAACTCACACGACCACAAGGTCCCACAATAGGCCATCTGCAAGCTGAGGAGCAAGAAGAGCCAGTCCGAGTCCCAAAACTGAAGAACCTGGAGTCTGATATTTGAGGGCAGGAAACATCTAGTACAGGAGAAAGATGTAGGCTGGGAGGCGAGGCCAGTCTAGGCTTTTCACATTTTTCTGCCTGCTTTATATTCTATCCACGCTGGCAGCTGATTAGATGGTGCCCACCCAGATTAAGGGTGGGTCTGCCTTCCCCAGCCCATTGAGTCAAATGTTAATCTCCTTTGGCAACACCCTCACAGATGCACCCAGGATCAATACTTTGCATCCTTCAATCCAATCAAGTTGACACTCAGTATTAACCATCACACCATCTTTGCCAAAAAATAAAAAATAAAAAAATTAGGCAGGTGTGGTGGCACATGGCTGTGATCCTAGCTACTCAGGAGGCTGAGGTAGGAGGATCACCTGAGCCTGGGAGGCAGAGTAAGACCCCGTCACAAACAAATAAAAACGGTTCACATACAAGTGTTTGTGTAGGCAGATGTTTTCAGTTATTTTGGGTAGTATCTAGGAGTAGAATTATTGGGTCATATGATAAACTTACGTTTAACTTTTTAAGTAACTGCCAAATTGTTTTCCAAAGTGGCTATTCCATTTTACATTCCACCAGCAATGTATGGGTTCCCTTTCTTTATATGCTCACTTATACTGGTATGTGCTGTCTCTTTGATCATAGCACATTTCAGTGAGTGTGTAGTTATATTTTTATTGTGGTTGTAATTTGCATTTCTCTAATAGTTCATGATATTAATTGAGCACATTTTCATGAGTTTATTAAACATTTATATATTTTCTTTAGTGAAATGTCTATTCTATCCATTTTATAGTTGATTGTTTATATTCTTTTTAATGAGTTGTAAGATTTTCTGTGTAGTTGTTACTTCCGTTTTTGAGAATAGGATATTTAAAGTTTCTATAACATGGCTGGGCACGGTGGCTCACATCTGTAATCCCAGCACTTTAGGAGGCCAAGGCGGGAGGATCATTTGAGGCCAGGAGTTTGAGACCAGCCTAGCCAACATGGTGAAACCCTGTCTCTACTAAAAATATAAAAATTAGCCACGCATGGTGGCACGTGCCTGTAATCCCAGCTACTCAGGAGGCGGAGGTTGTGGTGAGCCAAGATCGCACCATTGCACTCCAGCCTGGGGCACGAGAATGAAACTCCATCTCAAAAATAAAATAAAATAAAAAGTAAAAATAAAGTTTCTGTAACAACAACAAAAATAAATAAAGTTTCCAGTTATTGTTGAATTGTATTTCTCACTTCAATTCTGTCAAGTTTTGCTTCATATATTTGGGGCTCTGTTGTTAGAAGGATATATGTTTATAATTTTTTTCTAAGCAAATCTGTATCCAGCTTTATTAAAGATACTTTCCACAAACAACCCTGGTACCATGGTATTTCAGGCAGGACATGTGCAGACAATTCTTAACAGTTTACAACAACTTTCTTTTTTCTTTTTTTTTTTTAAGACAGGGTCTCATTCTGTTGCCCAGGCTGGAGTGCAGTGGCATGATCATGGCTCACTGCAGCTTTGAACTCCTGGGCTCAAGTGATCCTCCCAACCTCAGCCTCTCAAGTAGCTGAGACCAAAGGCATGTGCCACCATGCCTGCCTAATTTTTTAATTTTTTAGTTGGGGGGGGGCCTCATTTTGTTGCCCAGGCTGGTCTTGAATTCCTGGGCTCAAACAATCCTCATGCTCTGGCCTCCGGAAGCCCTGGGATTATAGGCATGAGCCAACTGTGCCCAGCCCAACAACTTTCAAACTCCCCTCTTCAATGGACTACCCAAATCAGAAAGCCCCTAAAAAACTCAATGAAGTCTTTGTTTGATGCTCTGAATAGGGAAAGTTGAGAGTTGACATTTCACGTTTAGCATGTTGCTTGACAACTTTTCAAGAGCTAACTCGACTTTCAAGAAGTAAAATGAAAATGGCAGAATTTATCTGCAGTAGAAATTTATCGACAGTAGAAATGGAACTGCTGCTCTTTTGAGGTGCACCTTCTTAGTGGCATCACTGGAAAGTTCAGATTGCAGATTGCCTGACACACAGGTAATCAATTATTGGAGGTCAGGTCTCAAAAGTTGTCTGGGCTTAAGGGAGTTAAGTCTGTTCAGAAGGTGGGAAGGCAGAAGTGGACATAAAGATGAATTTGTTTTTCCATACCTTAAGACATTTGTGCCAAGGTGGCTGTGTGTGTCAACATCAGGAAATTCCTCCTCCTGGGAGCCAAGAGGAAGTCTCTCAAATCTAAAAGAGAAAGCTGTTTTGCCCACATCAATCCAGCTTTGGGGACATTCTATTAGTGACATAATGTGCCTCTTCTCCAAAAAACAACAATGAAGTGTTCTGTGTGCTAATAATATAGCTTTAAAAAAAGTATGATAATATTCTACATTTTTGTGAAACTTGATAAAAAATAATATTTCAGGCTGGTGCAGTGGCTCAGCCTGTAATCCAGCACTTGGGAGGTGGATGCGAGAGGATCCCTTGAGCCCAGGAGTTCAAGACCAGCCTGGGCAACATAGTGAGACCCCATCTCTACAAAAAATAAAAAATTATCTGGGCATGGTAGCACGCACTTGTAGTCCTAGCTACTTGGGAGGCTGAGGTGGGACGATCAGGTGATCACGATCACTTGAGCCTGGGAGGTTGAGGCTGCAGTGAGCTCTGATTGTGCCACTCACTCCAACCTTGGCGAGAGAGCAAGACCCTGTCTCTAAAAAACAAACAAACAAACAAACAAACAAATAAATAAAACATCCCTCTCTTCAATAGTAACTTCTAAAAAAATCTTAAAGTCTATTTTATCTGATATAAATATAGTTATTCCAGCTCTTTTTTTCTTTGGAGACAGAGTTTTGCTCTGTCACCCAGGCTGAAGTGCAGTGGCACAATCTTCACTCACTGCAACCTCCACCTCCTGGGTTCAAGTGATTCTTATGCCTCAGCCTCCCGAGTAGCTGGGATTGCAGGTGCACATCACCACGCCAGCCTAATGTTTTGTATTTTTAGTAGAGATGGGGTTTCGCCATGTTCATCATGTTGGCCAAGCTGGTCTTGAACTCCTGACCCCAAGTGATCCACCTGTCTCAGCATCCCAAATTGTTGGGATTACAGGTGACTCCAGCTCTTAAGATGATTTTTCCCATAGTTTTACATTTACATTATATCTTTGAATCTAAAGAGTATCTCTTATGGACAGCATGTAATTGAACCCTATTTATTTATCTGATAATCTCTGCTTTTAATTGGAGTGTTTAATTCATGTACATTTAATGTAATTACTCGTATGGTTGGATTTATGCCTGTCATTTTCCTATTTGTTTCTATTGTGTTTCATGTCATTTTTGTTCCTCTGTGCCAATGTTACTGCCTTCTTTTGCATTAAACAAATATCTTTCAATGTATTCTTTTAATTCCTTTGTTCATTTTTAAGTTTTGTTTTTGTTTTTTTTTTTGAGACGGAGTCTCGCTCTTTCACCCAGGCTGGAGTGCGGTGGCGCGATCTCACTCACTACAAGCTCCGCCTCCTGGGTTCACACCATTCCCCTGCCTCAGCCTCCTGAGTAGCTGGGACTACAGGCACCTGCCACCACGCCCGGCTAATTTTTTTGTATTTTTTAGTAGAGACGATGTTTCACCATGTTAGCCAGGATGGTCTCAATCTCCTGACCTCATGATCCTCCCACCTCAGCCTCCCAAAGTGCTGGGATTACAGGTATGAGCCACCACGTCCAGCCTTAAGTTTTTATTTGAGTAATTTTCTTACCAATTGCTATAGGGATTGCAGTATGCTTCTTTATCACAGTTACTTCAGGCTAATGCTAACTAGTTCTGGTAAAAATATAGCAAATTTGCTATGATATACTTCCATTTTCTCATCTCTTCTAAAGTAAAGAGAAAAATTGAGATATTTATAGGCATAAAATGTAATAGGGAAGTGACAGAAGAGACAACAAGCACCAGATCATAAAGGACTTTATATACCATGCTAAGTCAATGGAGGAGGGAGTTGACAGGACAGTAAATTATTTTAAATTATAAGGAAATGTTGTTACATTTGCATTTCAGTTAGACCTTTCTAACAGTAATGAGGAGGATCAATTTCAAGGAGGCGGGATTGGGCCAATCAGAATCACTCTGGCTGGACACTGGTTCATGCCTGTAATCCTAACACTTTGGGAGGCCGAGACAGGCAGATCACCTGAGGTCAGAAGTTCAAGACCAGCCTGGACAACATGGTGAAACCCTGACTCTACTAAAAATACAAAAATTAGCTAGCTGGGTGTGGTGGCAGGCATTTGTAATCCCACTTACTTGGGAGGCTGAGGCATGAGAATCACTTGAACCTGGGAGGCAGAGTTTGCAGTGAGCCCAGATAATGCCATTGCACTCCAGCCTGGGCGACAGCGAGACTCTGTCTAAAAAAAAAAAATTCTTCTGGTAGCTATAATCTTCAGACATAGGAATCAGGGGTAGTTATTATTTCTGTTCTGTACTGTGTTTCTATACATGATTTTCTCCTGTCTCTAGACAGGAGAGTTTGCAAAGAACCCAGTGAGAATGAAGTTTCCATTAGGAGGAAAATAAGTGGCATAATAAAGTTATTATATCTTTGTGTTGTTCTTTGAAAAATTGTGGCAATTCTTTCTGCACAGAGCCAGACACCTCTGCAAAATGTTGAATAATATTCAATAGAACTGTGTGATCCTTCTACTGACCTTTCATTTATCCAACAGCCTCTCCTATTCACACCACTCCCTCATCACTCATTGATAAGAAACTACTGTATACCTTGGAAATGCTCCTCTACAAGGTGTTCTTCAGTTTCTCTCAAACTTTGCCACCAAATGGAGACAGCTGTATTGTTTTTTCTGATTACAAAAGTAAAAGGTATTCTTTATGGAAAAAAACAGTAATGGAAGTCAGAAATATACATGGCGGAGGGGTAAACTTTGAGCCCACAACAAACTCAGATATACAAAACATACAGCACTCCTTCTTTCTTTCTTTTTCTTTCTTTCCTTCCTTCTTTCTTTTCTTCTTTCCTTCCTTTTTCTTTTTTTGAGACAGGGTCTTGCTCTGTCACCCAGGCTGCATTGCAGTGGTACAATCACAGCTCCCTGTAGCCTCCTCCTCCTCCCCAGGCTCAGGTGATCCCCCCACCTGAACCTCCTGAGTAGCTGGGACTACAGGTGCATGCCACCATACCCAGCTGTTTTGTATTTTTTTGTAGGGATGGGGTTTTGCCATGTTGCCCGAGGCTGGTCTGGAACTCCTGGGCTCAATTAATTGGCCCACCTTGGGCTTCCAAATTGCTGAGCAATTTCCGGCCAATCCCTTAATTTCTACCACTGACTTAAACTTCCTCTTGAGCTCTCATTCTACAGAGGGAGGGTGGAAGTGGAATAGGAATGTAATGCAGCCAATTAAAGGTATCTCAGTTTCTTTCTAGTTCAATGTCTCATTTCAGGTGAATGTATTCAGGCAGTCCTCCAGGATCCACTCCTGAATTTTCAAACTCCCCTACAATTTTTTCATCTCTACACTCACTTTTTATATTCCCAATCTGTCTTTGGTGAGGTCTCCTTAGTTTAGGTTCTACTTCTTCTTCTTTTTTTTTTTTTGAGACAAGTCTCACTGTCGCCCAGGCTGGAGTGCAGTGGCACGATCTCAGCTCATTGCAACCTCCACTTCCCTGGTTCAAGCGATTCTCCTGCCTTGGCCTCCAGAGTAGCTGGGATTACAGTGCCACCAACCTGGTTAATTTTTGTATTTTTAGTTAAGAGACAGGATTTCGCCATGTTGGTAAGGCTAGTCTTGAACTCCTGACCTCAGGTGATCTGCCTGCCTTGGCCTCCCAAAGTGCTAGGATGGCAGGTCTGAGCCACTGCGCCCGGCCAGATTCTACTTCTGATAAATCAAATACAAGATGGGAAATGGGAATATTTTCAGGCGTGCAAAGAATGAAAAAGCAAACAAAATGAAACAAAATTCCTTCGTATCTTTACTAGGAATTTACTAGAGATATGCTCTTCTGAAACAAAAATATAACCAAAAAATGAAAATGACATAGGACACAGGAAACAGGAGATCTAGGATAAGCACCAGGATAGTGAAGGGAGTTCCCCAGTTGACAGCTGTCACCAGGCACTGAGAGCAAACCTGTTCAGTTGGAGCAGATCATAGGCACCAAGAGGGATTTCTTTAGATGATGAAACCAGTGAAATATTTGATGCATCAGAACCTCTTGAAAGGAGATTTAGACAAATTGGCAAAGGGTTTGGGGTAATGAAAACTAAGAAAATTAACATAATGTTCTCTAGTTTTATCCATGTTGCTGCAAATAACAGAAATCCATTCTTTCTTATAGCTAAATAATATTCCATTGTGTATATATACACCACATTTTCTTTATCTATTTATCTGTTGATGGACACTTGGGTTGACTACACATCTTGGCTACTGTGAACAGTGCTGCAATAAACATGGGAGTGCAGATATCTCTTTGATACACTTATTTCCTTTCTTTTGGGTATATACGCAGCAGCGGAATTGCTGGATCATATGCTAGTTCTATTTTTAGTTCTGGGGGAAACTCCATATTGTTTTACATAGTGGCTGTACTAATTTACATTCCTCATCAGTGTACGAACATTATGTTAAGTGAAATAAGCCAGGCAGTGGGGAGGTGCGGCTGGGGCTGCATGCTCCGTGGAGGCAGCGGGACGCCGGGACAGGCAGGAACCCCCCTCCTTCTGAGTTAAGGCGGGAGCTTCCTGGGTGCCGCTGCAGCCGTCCAAACCGTGCCTGTAGACCTGGGCCTCCTGCTCCATGGAGCAGGCAGGAGCCCCGCTCTCCTGGACAGGCTGTAGCCACCCAAGTTGTGGCTGCAGATCCGAGCCTCCCTGTGCTCTTGTGTGGGCCGGGAGCAGGCAGGATCCCTGCCCTGCCCTCCCGGGTGCAGCTGCAGCTGCCTGACCCACTGCTGCAGACCCAGGCCTCCTGCTCCAAGGAGCCGGTGATAAGCAGAAGCTCTGCCCCTTCTGAGTTGGCAGGGCGAGAACTCCCTGGTGCAGCTGCAGCTGCAGCTGCCCTCCCAGGTGCAGGACCCAGGCAGCTGTCTCTACAGTCTGCACCCTTGGGGACCCTGGAAGGCTTCCTCATCCCTGTCCCAGCAGGCTCGCGGGTTTCTTCTCCCTCTGCCTGGCCTCTCTCCTCTCCCAGCATGGCTCCAATATCAAAGCAGGGATTGGGGATGAGCAGGGATGCTGTCGCAGTCCAGCTGGGTGTGCTCAAGCTTGCGGCAGTGCTTATACGCCAGCCCTCTGCCGCCTCTGCTGCCTCCAGAATTTGGGCACCCACGAGCGTGAGAGGGGAAGCCAAGGGGGCGCTGAGAGTGGAAGCCAAGTGGGGGCTGAGGGCGGCTTGGCACTGGCCTGCAGAAGCCCCTTGGTGAGAACAGCCTGGGTGCCATGGATGCTGGTGGCACAGTGGGATGCAGACAGGCTCCTGGGCAAAGGGAGCGGTCCCTGTAAGACCCCACCTTCAGGGCAGGGAGGGCCTGAAGGCTGCAGGTCAGGTGCCAGTCCCTGTGGGTCCAAGTGGGCACTTGTGGTGCCTTTTCCAGCCAGCCCATGGCTGCCTATGGACCCAGAGCACTTTGTCCTCTCCGAGGTCCATAAAAGCCCCCAACTCAGCCAGAGCAGGGCAGAGGATGGAGAGATCATGGGACTACCAGTTGCAGAGAGGAGCCACCCACTCCAGGGCCTGCTGGGACAACCTGGCTACAGAGGGGAGCTACCCACTGCAGGTCTCCTCTGAGCTGTTCTAACACTCAATGAAGTTCCTCTTCATCTTGCTCATCGTCCACTTGTCTGCATACCTCATTCTTCCTGGATGCAGGATAAGAACTCAGGCAAAGGCATCACCGGCCACAGAGGTTTCTGGCCAAAAGAGTGACAATACATGTTTTCACTCCTATGTGGGAACTAAAAAAATTGATCTCATGGAGGTAGAGAGTTGATTGGGGTTACCAGAGACTGGGAAGAGTAGTGGGGAGGTGGGGAAGAAGATGAGTCAGTTAATGGGTACAAAAATTTTGTTGCGTAGAAGGAATAAGATCTAGATTTCAACAGCCCAATGAGGTGACTATAGTTAACAATAATTAATCATACATTTCAAAATAGCTAGAAGAGAAGATTTGGAATGTTGCCAACACAAAGAAATGATAAATATTTGAGATTGTCGATATCCCAATTACCCAGCTTTGATCATCATATATTGTATGCATGTATGTATACCCGGGCTCAAAAATAACGGAAAGAAAGAAAAAAGAAGGCTGGGCACAGTAGCTCATGCCTGTAATCCTAGCACTTTGGGAGGCCAAGGCAGGTGGATTGCTTGAGCCCAGGAGTTCAAGACTAAGCTGGGCAACATGGCGAAACCCTGTCTCTACAAAAAATACAAAAGCTAGACAGGCATGGTGGAACATGCCTGTAGTCCCACTGCTTGGGAGGCTGAGGTGGGAGGATCACTTGAGCCCAGGATGTCCAGGCTGCAGTGAGCCATGTTTGCACCACTGCACTCCAGCCTGGGTAACAGAGCGAGACCCTGTCTAAAAAACTTTTTTTAAAAAGAGAGAAAAAGCACAATTATTAAATCTAGGCAAAATAAAGATTTATTCAGGATAAGAAGATAATCATAGCATATACTACTTCTCTCAGCTATGAATAATGTTTACATAATCATAATTACGTACTTAATGTTGGTGAAGGAAGAGCAAATAGAGTTGGGTCCTCATCTGCAATAGGAAACCAACAGATAGTTTACAAAACTGAAGACCCAAGAAATAACAATTAAGCATGTTGTTTAAAGACATGGCAGTAAACATCAAAACAATCAGTTATAAATGATGAAAGTAGTTATGTCTGAAGAGAAGGGAAAGTAATGGGTGGAAGAAGGGAAGGGCAGTGCTGTTTTTCTTTTTTCTTTTTGAGACAATCTCGCTCTATCACCCAGACTGGAGTGCAGTGGCATGATCACTGCTGACTGCAGCCTAGACCTCTTGGGCTCAAGTGACCCTCTTGCCTCAGCCTCCTGAGTAGCTGGGACCACAGGCTCATGCCACCATGCCCAGCTATTTTTTTTTTTTGAGACAGTCTTGCTGTGTTGCCCAGACTGGAGTGCAGTGGTGTGATCTCAGTTCACTGCAAACTCCGCCTCCTGGGTTCAAGAGAGTCTCCTGCCTCAGCCTCCCTAGTAGCTGGGATTACAGGCACACACCACCATGCCCAGCTATTTTTTTTATTTTTAGTAGAGACGGGATTCACCATGTTGGCCAGGCTGGTCTTGAACTCCTGACCTCAGATGATCCGCCCATCTCAGCCTCCCAAAGTGCTGGGATTACAGGCGTGAGCCACTGCGCCCGGCTGCCCAGCTAATTTTTAAATTTTGGTTGTATAGATGGGGTATGGCTATGATGCCCAGGCTGGTCTTGAACTCCTGGGCTCGATTGGTCCTCCTGCCTTGGCCTCCCAAAATGCTGGACCTACAGGTGTGAGCCACCATGCCTGTGCTGTTTTTCTTAACAAAACTTGTTAAATCACTTGAGTCTTTAAACCAAGTGTGTGTATAATGTCAATAATGATTTAAAAAAAGCTTCACTAAAGCTTCATATTTCTTTGGTTTTATGAGACATAGCCACATATCAAAAGATAGTACAGAATCTTGTACGTTTTGTGGACAGATATCCACACTTGTCGCACATGGTTCTTTTTTGGATCATGCCAATTCCTTCAAGCAATTCATCCCTAGAAGCAGGTAAATAGACCATAATTACTTCATGAACAGGTTTGAAATTGTAACTGGGAGTTAATCCTAATAGATTCTGGATATGAAGTGTGCCAGGTGTTTTTTTTGTTTGTTTGTTTTGTTTTGTTTTTGAGATGGGGTCTCACTCTGTCACCCAGACTGGAGTGCAGTGGCACAATTATGGCTCACTGCAGCCTCAACTTCCCAGGTTCCAGCAATCCTCCCACCTCAGCCTCCCAAGTAGCTAGGACCACAGGTGTGCACCACCTACCTAACTACATTTTGTATTTTTGGTAGAGACGGGGTTTTGCCATGTTTCTCAGGCTGGTCTCGAACTCCTGAGCTCAGATGATCTGCCCGCTTGACCTCCCAAGTGCTGGGATTACAGGTGTGAGCCACCGTGCCTGGCCTGAAGTGTGCCAATTCCGATTAAGGGTGAAAGTAAGGTGGGATATATTTTCCCAACTCTTCAATATTTCCAAAACAAAAATAAAACATTTGAGGAATAGTGAATAGTGGGACTTATCAATACAAGAGGGTTTGTTTTCCTTAAGAATGAGGATCACCACTTCAAACTTAACACAAAGAGCTTGTGTTTTTCCTACATTCACAAATACAACACCCCTCACCCCCCCAAAAAAATAACAGTCCACCACTGAATTTAGTAGATGTACACACATAAACAAACACATATGTGTGCAGGTACACTTATACATATGATATATAGGTGGTGCAAATAACTTTTAAAACTATACTTATTTATTTATATATTTTTATTTTTATAGGAGACAGGGTCTCTATGTTTCCCAGGCTGGTCTCGAACTCCTGGGTATAAGTGATACTCCTGCCTCTGCCTCCCAAAATGCTGGGATTGCAGGCATGAGCCACTTCACTCAGCATAAACTATTTTTATATAATTACAAATTTATAGCTGGGCTCCATGGCTCATTCCTGTAATCCCAGCACTTTGGGAGGCCCAGGTGGGAAGATCACTGGAGCCCAGGACTTTGAGACCAGTCTGCGCAACATAGAGAGACCCATCTCTACAAACAAACAAAAATTGTTTGTTTGTTTGTTTGTTTGTTTGTTTTTGAGATGGAGTATCACTCTGTTGCCCAGGCTGGAGCGCAGTGGCACGATCTCAGCTCACTGCAACCTCTACCTCCCAGGTTCAAGAGATTTTCCTGCCTCAGCCTCCCGACCAGCTGGGACTACAGGCGTGCACCACCATGCCCAACTAATTTTTGTATTTTTTTTTTTAGTAGAGACAGGGTTTCACCATATTGGACACGCTGGTCTCGAACTCCTGACCTCGTGATCCACCCGCCTCAACCTCCCAAAGTGCTGGGATTACAGGCATGAGCCACCGCACCTGGCCCAAAAAATTACAAATTTACCAAAAAAACTTGCAAGAATAGTATAGGGAATTCCTATCTACCCACTAGACCCACAAATGGTTTCTGTCTTGCACCACTTGCTTCATCATTCTCTATGACACACATTTATTTGTATGCATGCATGCACATATATGCACATGTATATTTTTTGAACCACTTAAAGTTAAGTTGTTACCAGGTATAGAGGGCAACTGTGTTCTTTACCCCTTGATACATTTGCGTGTATTTTCTAAATACAAAGACATTCTCTTAAATAACCAGTACAATGACCTAAATCAGAAAGTTTAGCGTTGATACCATACTATTGAATCTACAGTCCCTGTTCAAATTTCATAAATTGTTCAAATAGAGTCCTCCACAGCTATTTCTTTTTTCCTTGTCCAGGATCCAAGCCAGGATTACATATTTACATTTAGTTGTAATGAGTCTTTGATCTCTCTTTTTCTTTTCTGGCAGTTATAAAGGCAATCTTTGGTCTCTTTTAGTCTGGAACTGCTCCTCTGGCCAGATATTTTGTAGAATGTTATTCAATTTGGATGTGTCTTATGTTTCATCATAATTAGATTCAGGTTATGCATTTTTGGCAGGAATACCACAAAAGTGATACTATATCTGTTTAGTCCGTTTTAACACTGCTATAAAGAAGTCTCCGAGACCGTCGTGGCGTGCGCCTGTAGTCCCAGCTACTCAGGAGGCTGAGGCAGGAGAATTCCTTGAACCCGGGAGGCGGAGGTTGCAGTGAGCCAAGATCGCGCCACTGCACTCCGGCCTGGGCAACAGAGCAAGACTCAGTCTCAGAAAAAAAAGAAGAAGAAGAAGTGCCCGAGACTGGGTAATTTATAAAGGGATTGACTCACAGTTTCCCATGGCTGGAGATACCTCAGGAAACTTATAATCATGGCGGAAGGCAAAGGGAAAGCAAGATACCCTCTTCACAAGGCCGCAAAAAGGAGAATTAGCGCAGGAGGAACTACCAAACACTTATAAAACGATCAGATCTCGCGAGAACTCATTCACTATCATGAGAATAGCATGGGAGAACTGCTCCCATGATTCAATTACCTCCACCCGGTCTCTCCCTTGACACAAGAGGATTATGGGGATTACAATCAAAGATGAGATTTTGAGTGGTGACACAGCCAAACCATATCAATATCCTTCTTAAAGCATTTTATCAGGAGACATATGTCAGATTGTCCCAATATCGCTAATGTTAACTATAATCACCAGGTGAAGATGATGGCCACCAGACTTCTCCATTTTAAAATTAATATTTTATATTAATTAATATTTGAGGATATTAATTAAACAAAATTTAATTATTTCAATTTAATTTACAAATAATTGATTTTATATATTTGTAATTTTAATATTAAGTAATTCATGGGAAAGTACTTTTATACTATGTGAATATTCTGTCATGTTTTACCCACTAGTTTTGGCATCTGCTAATAATATTTCACTTTACCATTTCTTCTACACTTTGTAGTTGGCATTCTCTTACAAGTAAAAGTTTTCTCTTCTTTCTTATTTATTTATTCATTAATTCTTATCAATACGGGCTCACAGAGTCTTATTTTATTCAATGGGTAATACTCCATTTCTATCATTATTTATTTTGATGATCAAATTGCCTGGAATTTGGCTGGTAAGAGACTTTCAAGTTAGATCTTTTGTCCCTTTTGATGTGTTCCAGTCACTCTTTTTTTTTTTTTTTTTTTTTTGAGATGGAGTTTCACTCTTGTTGGCAGGCTGGTGTTCAATGGTGTGATCTCAGCTCACTGCAACCTCTGCCTCCTGGGTTCAGGTGATTCTCCAGCCTCAACCTCCTGAGTAGCTGGGATTACAGGCACATGCAAACAGGCCCGACTAATTTTTGTATTTTCAACAGGGTTTCACCATTTTAGCCAGGCTGGTCTCGAACTCCTGACCTCAGGTGATCCACCCACCTCGGCCTCCTAAAGTGCTGGGATTACAGGCGTGAGCCACTGTGCCTGGCCCCCAATCATTCTTTAAGCCCTTTTCTTTCATTTTTTGTTTTTGGTTTTTTTTTTTTGAGATGGGGTCTTGCTCTGTAGCACAAGCTTAAAGTGCAGTGGCATGAACATGGCTTACAACAGCCTCAAACTCCTGGCCTCAAGCCATTCTCCTGCCTCAGCCTCCCAAGTAGTTGGGACTACAGCTGTGTGCCACCACGCCTGGCTACTTTTCTTCTTAGACAGGGTCTCGCTCTGTTGCCCAGGTTGGTCTCCAGCTTCTGGACTCAAGTGATTCTCCTGCCTCGGCCTTTCAAAGTGCTGGGATTACAGGTATGAGTCACTGCTCCTGACCTTTTAAACACTTTTCCAATTTGACACAGGATATTCTATACTACCTTATTCTTTTGCAAGCCCAAGAGGAAAATAAAGGAATCAAATCTGGGTGCTAGGTGTGCTCACTGCTATTGGTGTGTCATTGTTTCTAGTCCCACACTGGAGAAAATGCTAGAAAAAAAGTATATAAATATAACTTTATATATATATAGAGAGAGAGAAGGCCTAAGGTCCATCTCTCTCTCTACCTCTGGGGTTCATGCTAGCCCTCCTCTTCTCCATATGTGTAACTTCCATTTCCAACAGTGAGAAAACAGTGGCTTTCCAAGATTGCGCCACTGCACTCCAGCCTGGGCGACAGAGCGAGACTCCGTCTCCAAGAAAAAAAAAAGAAAAAAAAAGTGGCTTTCATTATCTTCCTATATACTTATTTATTTGCGCAAACCTAGAATGCAAATGAGGTACTTTTAGGATTGCTAATTCATACTACTGTGGAAAGCAAATCTCATGAATTTCAATATTTATTTATACTTCTTTTCCATTTTTTCAGGTAAAATTTCCATACAGCGATGTCCACAAATCTTTCTTTTTTTTTTTTTTTGAGTTGGAGTTTCACTCTTGTTGCACAGGCTGGAGTACAATGGCGCGATCTCGGCTCACCGCAACCTCTGCCTCCTGGGTTCAAGCGATTCTCCTGCCTCCACCTCCTGAGTAGCTGGGATTACAGGTATGCACCACCACGCCTGGCTAATTTTTTGTATTTTTAGTAGAGACAAGGTTTCTCCATGTTGATCAGGCTGGTCTCGAATTCCTGACCTCAGGTAATCCGCCCACCTCGGCCTCCCAAAGGGCTGGGATTACAGGCGTGAGCCACCGTGCCTGGTGTCCAAGAATCTTAAGGGTATCATTTAACAACTAAATATACCCATTTAACCTCCCGATAAACATTCCCATCACCCCAGAAAGCTCCTTTGTTCTTCTTTCTCAGTTGATCCCCATCCCAATGCCATCCACAAACTCTGTCCTGATTTTTTCACTACAGATAAGTGTTCCCTGTTCTAGAACAACATGCAAATGAAGCATAGATTATGTATTCTTTTTTTGATTCTTTGGTTCAATGTAATAAGATTCAGGCAAGTTGATGTAGGCTTCAGTAGTTTGTTCATTTTTTTTAATACTTCTCAAACAGTTTTATATTTTAGTTATGAAGGTCAGTTACCAGAGCCAGACTTGTTCTTAACAAGCAGAATTTTTATGTCCATTCAGAGTCCCTTACAATTTTCTCAGCCTATTCACTTGCAGAGAGTAGAAACTGTATAGTTTGATCCTATTTGTTTATTTATTTAGAGACAGGGTCTTGCTCTGTTGCCCGGGCTGGAATACAGTGGCATGATCTCGGCTCACCACAACCTCTACCTCCCTGGTTCAAGCGATTCTCCTGCCTCAGCCTCCCAAGCAGCTGGGATTACAGGCACCTGCCACCATGCCCAGCTAAGTTTTGTATTTTTAGTAGAGATGAGGTTTCGCCATGTTTGCCAGGCTGGTCTTGAACTCCTGACCTCAAATCGTCTGCCCGCCTCGGCCTCCCAAAGTGCTGGGATTACAGGCATGAGCCACAATGCCTGGCCCCTTTTTATTACTGAGTAGTATTCCATTGTATAAATATAGTACAGTTTGTTTTGTAGTGTTCAGGGTGGAAGTCTTACACAGCTTTTGTGAGATTTATTCCTAAGTATTTTTATGCTATTGTAAATAGAATTGTTTTCATTTCATTTTCCAGTTGTATTTCCAATGTCATTGATTTTAAAATATTGACCATGTGTCCTATGATCTTGGGATTATTAATTCTAGAGTTATTATAGATTCCTGGATTTCCAAAATTAATGATCATGATATGTGTGAACACTGAAAGTTTTACTTATTCATTTCCCATCTGTATTCCGTTTATTTTATTGTTTATTTATTTTTTGAGATGGAGTCTTGCTCTCTTAACTGCAAACTCTGCCCATCTCCGCCCCTGCTCACCCCGCCCCAGTTCAAGCCCCAGTTCAAGCGATTCTCCTGCCTCAGCCTCCTGAGTAGCTGGGATTACAGGCACGTGGCACCACGCCTGGCTAATTTTGTATTTGCAATAGAGATGGGGTTTTGCCATGTTGGCCAGGTTGGTCTCGAACTCCTGACCTCAAGTAATCCGCTCACCTTAGCCTCCCAAAGTGCTGGTATTACAAGTGTGGGCCACTGTGCCCGGTTCCTTTTATTTATTTATTTATTTGCATTCGCTAAGATTTCTAATACAATGTTGAGTTGAAATGTTGAGAGGGGACGTCTTGGCTTGTTCCTGATCTTACAAAAAATAATTCAATATTTCACTGATTGTGTGAGGTTAGCTCTGAGGTTTTTGCAGCTGATCCTCGTTTTCTAGCTTTTTTTTTTTTTTTTTGAGACCAGTCAAGCGCAGTAGTGAGAAGGGGAACAGAGTATTTTTCTAGCTTCTTAAAGTGGAAATTTAGATTACTGATTTTATTTATTTATTTATTTATTTATTTATTTATTTGAGACGGAGTTTTGCTCGTGTTGCCCAGGCTGTTGTGCAGTGGCATGATCTCAGCTCACTGCAACCTTAGCCTCCCAGGTTCAAGTGATGCTCCTGCCTCAGCCTCCTGAGTAGCTGGGATTACAGGCACATGCCACCATGTCAGGCTATTTTTTTTTTTGTATTTTTAGTAGAAATGGGGTTTCACCATGTTTGCCAGGCTGATCTCGAACTCCTGACCTCAGGTGATCTACCCACCTCAACCTCCCAATGTGCTAGGATTACAGGATTGAGCCACTGCGTCTGGCCTGTTGATTAATTTCTTTCTTTCTTCCCTCCCAGCTTTACTGAGGTAACATTGATGAAATAAAATTGTATGTGCTTATAGGCTGGGCACAGTGGCTCATAGCCATGAGCTACTTTGGGAGACTCCCAACACTTTGGGAGACTGAGGCAGGAGGATCACTAAGGCCAGGAGTTCAACACCAGCCTGGGCCACATAGTGAGACCCCATTCCAAAAAAATAATAATGGGCCAGGTGCGGTGGCTCAAATCTGTAATTTTGGCACTTTGGGAGGCCAGTGTGGGTGGATTACTTGAGGCCAGCAGTTTGAGACCAGCCTGGGCAACAGAGTGAAACCCTGTCTCTACAAAAATGACAAAAATTAGCTTGGCATGGTGGTGCATGCCTGTAGTCCCAGCTACTCAGGAGTCTGATGTGGGAGGATCACTTAAACCCAGGAGGTTGAAGCTGCAGTGAGCTATAATCATGCCACTGCACTATAGGCTGGGTGACAGAGTAAGACCCGGTCTCAGGAAAAATTTTAAGAATAATAAATAAATAAAATAATAAAATTAAAAGTTGTATATATTGATGGTGTACAACATGATGTTTTCACATATGCATATAGTGTTAAATGAATACCACAATCAAGCTAATTAGCATGTATTCATCCATTTTCACACTGCTGTAAAGACAAACCCAAGACTGGGTCATTTATTAAAAAAAAGAGGTTTAATTGACTCACGGTTCTGCATGGCTGGGGAGGCCTCAGGAAACTTACAATTGCAGAGGAAGGGGAAGCAGGCACATCTTACAACGGGGCAGGTGAGAGGGCATGAGCAAGAGCAGGGAAAACTGCCTTATAAACCCACCAGATCTCGTGAGAACTCACTCACTATCAGGAGAACAGGATGCGGGGAAATGCCCCCATGATCCAGTCACCGCCCACCAGCCTCCTCCCTCAACACCTGGGGATTACAATACAAGATGAGATTTGGGTGGTGACATAAAGCCTAACCATATCATATCATATATCCATTGCCTCACATAGTTACTGTTTTTTCATGTGTAGTTAGAACATTCAAGATCTACTCTCGGTCAGGCATGGTGATTCATGCCTGTAATCCCAGCATTTGGGAGGCTGAGATGGGAGGATCAATAGAGGCCAGGAGTTTGAGACCAGCCTGAGCAACATAGCAAGACCCTGCCTCTACCAAAAATTTAAAAACTAGCCAGGCATGATGGCCTGTGCCTGTTGTCCTAGCTACTTAGGAGGCTGAGGCTGGAGGATCCCTTAGGCCCAGGAGTTCCGGGTTACAGTGAGCTATGATTGAGCCACTGCACTCCAGCCTGGGTGACAGAGCGAGACCCTGTCTTTAAAATATATATTATTATTGTATGTGGGAATGTTGATCCAATACAAACTACTCCACTATTACAGAACTGTAACGTGGAAAATTTTAAATTATAATAATTATCTTCTGTGAGTCTTCAAAGCTGAAGGTCTCAGACTGGTTTCATACACCAATTTGTTTTTGTTTTGTTTTGTTTGAGGCAGGGTCTTGCTCTGTCACCTAGGCTGCTCACTGCAGCCTTGAACTCCTGAGCACAAGCAATCCTCCCACCTCAGCCTCTCAAAGTTCTGGGATTACAGACATGAGGCACTGCACCTGGCCTGTATACCAGTTTGTATGAGAAGTATAAGTAGAAGATATTAACCACATTTGGACATATTTCCATTCATAATAATTTAGTTGCTGGGAATGGAATAGAAAAGATGGTTTCCCACTGTTCTTGCTCTGAATTGCAAGACTGTCCTCTGTTTTAACAAAGTATTCTGTCATAGCAGTCAAGGGCAAATTCTTTCAGCTGTGAGTCATCTTACTCATTAAAAGCCTCATAATATAGCTTACTGATTTTCCCCATTTGTTAGATAAAGAATTTCCTACCTCCTCCCAGACAGTAGTTTAATATGTTGGGCTGCTGTATGTGATTTTGTTTAAAGGTAGTGTGCCACTGTTTTTTAAAAACAATTGCAAATCCTAGTTTAGAAAATCTCTAGGAGTCTCTAAAATTAAATAACAATGTATTTTAGTTTGTTTGCCTATAGAAGAATGGTGAATGTGTACAAAAATAATCTTTGGCTTAGAAATTTCCAGTTTTGGCTGGGCATGGTGATTCACACCTGTAATCCCAGCACTCTGGGAGGCCAAGGTGGGCGGATCACTTGAGGTCAGGAGTTTGAGACCAGCCTGGCCGAGATGGTGAAACCCCATCTCTACGAAAAATACAAAAATTAGCTGGGTGGTGGTGGCGCACACTTGTAGTCTCAGCTACCTGGGAGGCTGAGGCAGGAGAATCACTAGAACCCAGGAAGCGGAGGTTGCAGTGAGCTGAGATCATACCACTGCACTCCAGCCTGGGCAACAGAGTGAGACTCTGTCTGAAAAAAAAAAAAAAAAAGAAAGAAAGAAAAAAAGAAATTCCCAGTCTTGGGTGATCTTCAAAGCTCTGCCCACTTGACAGCAGGTGGGATCATTTGTCAGTAAAATACTCCTCTGATTTCTTTCTATTTGAATTCATCCAAGGATCTATAATGCAAAACTCTCTTACTATTTTTGACATAAATATTATTATTCTGTACTATTTAACATTTTCATTATGGTAGTAAAACTAAAAGGCAAAGAGATTTGTGCTGAGAAATGTGTGCTATTCACAGTAGATATTACTTAAGTTCAAAGGCACGTGTGCAGCTGGATTGGACTAAGACCCTCTCAATAGTCCAAAGCTATAATTGTGTGAACCTTCTAGAATCAGACATATTTGCAAAAGATTGTCATTGCTTAAGGGTTCATGCAATAATTTATCTGATTGTTGCAAGTTTCAGACTTGCCATCATCTGGACATTCCTGTTCATCAGAGCAGTAGGAATTTTCATTTTAATTGTGGCATCGAACTCACTAATCATCTGCTACCATGGTAATCAATAGGTGTAAATATTCTAATAAACATTCATTTAAAGTCTCCAGTGAATTAAGATGCTATTTAAATGAAAAACAATACATTGATATAGGTCAGTGTGTTGCCTCTCCCTTGGTGTGCTTACTAATTTACCAAATGCACTCTGTATGCGTCTAATGGTAAAGGAAAAGTACTAGGGGCTCTTTTTAATGTGTTAACTGAGAAGAAGCCTAGTTTTTTTAGCCCATTAACAAAAGCTATTACTATATCTCCCCTAAAATACTGGCAGATCAGCCAAGGCAACATAGTGGGACCCCATGTCTACAAAACAAACAAACAAACAAACAAACAAAATTAGCCAGGGGCGGTGGCACGCACCTGTAGTCCCAGCTACTTTTGGAGGCTGAGGCGGGAGGATCACTTGAGGCAAGGAGGTTGAGGCTGCAGTGAGCCGTGGTAACATCACTACATTCCAGCCTGCATAACAGAGTGAGACCCTGTCTCAAAAAATAGTAATAAATAAAATAGGTCTGGCATAGTGGCTCACGCCTGTAATCCCAACACTTTGGGAGGCCGAGGCAGGTAGATCACCTGAAGTCAGGAGCTCAAGACCAGCCTGGCCAACATGGCAAAACCCAGTCTCTACTAAAAATACAAAAATTAGCTGGGCACTGTGGCAGGCACCTGTAATCCCAGATACTTTTGGAGGCTGAGGGAGGAGAATCACTTGAAACTGGGAGGCAGGGGTTGCAGTGAGCCGAGATCACACCACTGCATTCCAGCCTGGGCAACAGAGTGAGACTCCATCTCAAAAAATAAGTAAATAAAGGCCAAGAGTGGTGGCTCATGTCTGTAAACCCAGCACTTTGGGAGGCCGAGGTGGTGGATCACCCAAGGTCAGGAGTTTGAGTCCAGCCAGACCAACATGGCGAAACCCCATCTCTACTAAAAATACAAAATTAGCTGGGCATGGTGGTGGGCACCTGTAATCCCAGCTACTTGGGAGGTTGAGGCAGGAGAATCACTTGAACCCAAGAGGTGGAGGTTGCAGAGAGCCAAGATCATGCCATTGCACTCCAGCTTGGGCGGCAAGAGTGAAACTCCATCTCAAAATGATAAATAATAAAGTAAATAAATAAATAAATAAAATTAAATTAAAATACTGGCAGATTGCCCTTCCTACATTGTAAGCTTCTTGGAGACACAGATCATGTCATATTATTAATGCTGTAATTCTGTCAGTGCCTAACATGCTGCCTTGCATTTCATTAAATGGCTTAAACTGTTGTTTAAGCCATGCAATTTATGGCATTTTGTTATAGCATATGAAGACAATTATTAATACAATAATTTAAATTCTACCTACCAAATTATAGCTATTTTATTTATTAAAACCTCTCTTTAGCCAAGTGTAGTAATGCACATCTGTAGTCCCATCTACCTGGGAGGCTGAGGCAGGAGGATTGCTTGATCCTGGGACATGGGGGCTGCAGTGAGCCGTGATCACACCACTGCACTACATCCTGGGTGACAGAGCGAGACCCTGTCTCAAAAAAGAAAAAAAAGAAAAAAACTTCTCTCTTGTCTTCAGTTTTCTTTTTTTGTTTCTTTTTTTCTTTTTTTTTTTTTTTTTTGAGACGGAGTCTCACTCTGTTACCCAGGCTGGAGTGCAATGGCTCGATCTCGGCTCACTGCAGCCTCCACCTCCCGGGTTCAAGCAATTCTCTTGCCACAGCCTCCCAAGTATCTGGGATTACAGTCGCCCACAACTACATCTGGCTAATTTTTCTATCTTTAGTAGACATGGGGTTTCACCATGTTGGCCAGGCTGCTCTCAAACTCCTGAGCTCAGGTGATCTGCCCGCCTCAGCCTCCCAAAGTGCTGGGATTACAGGCGTGAGCCACTGCGCCTGCCCAATTTTTTGTATTTTTAGTAGAGATGGGATTTTACCATGTTGGCCAGGCTGGTCTCGATCTCCTGACCTCGTGATCTGCCCGCCTCAGCCTCCCAAAGTGCCAGGATTACAGGCATGAGCCACCGCACCCAGCCTCTTGTCTTCAGTTTTCTGAACTGTACAATGAGGGAAACGTCTTCTAGTGACACTTGAAAATCCATGAAATGCCTTACAAATGCAAAGCATTAATAATTTTATTATAGGTGTAAAAGTCCTATGAGAGGTCAGGATTGCTAAATATATAATCGTATTTCAAACAAGATGTGCTTAGCTCAAACAAGAGATTATTCTATCAGAAGGATAATCACAGATCATCAGAGGCAAATGCATTGGTATCTGCACTTTTCATGTAAAACTGAAGTCTGTTGCTTTAGACATGACAGTCTTGCTCATAATAACCATATTAAACATAGCTTCTTTTTGCTGGGCATGTTGGTGCATGCCTGTAGTCCCAGTTACTCAGGAGGCTGAGACAGGAAGATTGTTTGAACCGAGGAGTTTCAGTCTATAGCATGGTATGATTGCACTTGTAAATAATCACTATATTCTAGCACGGGCAGCATAGTGAGACCCCCATCTCTAAAAAAGTAAAAACAAACAAAGAAAAAACTTATTTTAAAAATAGGCTTTAAAAAATGTAGCGTATTAGCCAGGAGCAGTGGCTCACACCTGTAATCCCAGCACTTTAGAAGGGTGAGGCGGGTGGATTGCTTGAGCCCAGGAGTTTGAGACCAGCCTGGGCAACATGGGAAGACCCCTGTCTCTACAAAATATACAAAAATTCTCAGGGCATGGTCGTGTGCACCCGTGGTACCAGCTACTTAGGGGCCTGAGGTGGGAGGATTGTTTGAGCCCGGGTGGTTGAGACTGCAGTGAGCCGTGATTGAGCCACTGCATTCCAGCCTGGGTGACAGAGTGAGACCCTGTCCAAAAAAAATTTTTTTAAGCAATAAAATAAATAGCATTTAAATAAATTTATAATAACAAAATGGAGTTTAAACAGTAAAATTTATTATATGAATAATAAACAACAATAAAATGGCAAATAACTTCTTTTAAAATGTAATATAGGCTGGGCGCAGTGGCTCATGCCTGTAATCCCAGCACTTTCGGAGGCCGAGGCGTGCAGATCATCTGAGGTCAGGAGTTCGAGACCAGCCTGGCTAAAATGGTGAAACCCCATTTTACTAAAAATACAAAAAATTAGCCAGGTGTGGTGGTGTGCACCTGTAATCCAAGCTACTCGGGAGGCTGAGGCAGGAGGATCACTTGAACCTGGGAGGTGGAGGTTGCAGTGAGTCGAGATGGCTTCATTTCACTATGGCTTGGGCAACAAGGGCAAAACTCCATCTCCAAAAAAAAAAGTAATGTAGCTTAGATTTTTGTTTTGTTCTGTTCTGTTTTTGAGACAGAATCTTGCTCTGCCGCCCAGGCTAGAGTACAGTGGAATGGTCTCGGCTCCCTGAAACCTCTGTCTCCCGGGTTCAAGTGATTCTCCTGCCTCAGCCTCCCGAATAGCTGGGATTATAGGTGCACACCACCGCACTCAGCTAAATTTTGTAATTTTTGGTGGAGATGGGGTTTCACCGTGTTGGCCAGGCTGGTCTCAAACTCCTGCTCAAGTAATCCATCCACCTTTGCCTCCCAAAATGCTGGGATTACAGGTGTGAGTCACCGCGCCTGACCTATAGCTTAGATTTCTTAAAAGTAAAAGATGTATTGCTAATAGGTAGCTTGATGGAGAAAAGAAGTACTGTTTGCTGAGGTTTTTTGTTTGTTTGTTTTTTTGTTTTTGAGATGGAGTCTCATTCTGCCGCCCAGGCTGGAGTACAGTGGCATGACCACAGCTCACTGCAGCCTCAACCTCCTGGCCTCAAGCAATCCTCCCACCTCAGCCCCCCAAGTAGCTGGTACCACAGGTGCACACCACCACACCCTGCTAATTTTTGTATTTTTTGTAGAGACAGGGTTTCACCATGCTGCCCACACTTGGTCTCAAATGCCTGGGCTCAAGGGATGCATGCATCTTGGCCTCCCAAAGTGCTGGGATTACAGGCATGAGCCACCACACCCAGCCTGTCTTTGACCTTTACATAATGGAATCATGCTCTATATATTTTTCTGTGATAGTTTTTTCCCCATTTAGCATTTTTGAGGTTCTCATCCATATTCATGCCTACCGCTATGGTTTACCCATTTTCACTGCTGTATAGTGTTTCAATTTTAGTTTTTGTTTTTGTTTTTGCTTTTTGAGACAGAGTCTCACTCTATCGCCCAGGCTGAAGTGCAGTGACGTGATCTCGGTTCACTGCAACCTCCGCCTCTTGGGTTCAAGTGATTCTCATGCCTCAGCCCCCTGAATAGCTGGAATTACAGGCACACACACACCCAGCTAATTTTCGTTATTTTTTTAGTAGAGACAGGGTTTCACCCTGTTGGCCAGCTGGTCTCGAACTCCTGACCTCAGGTGATCCACCCACCTCAGCCTCCCAAAATACTGGGATTACAGGCGTAAGCCACCATGCCCGGCCTGTGTTTAGTGTTTTTAATACACTACAGTTTTATCCTTCTATGACGTTTCCAGGTTTTGCTATTATGAACACTTTAGCCAAGAAATTCCCACATATGTTTGTTGGTGTTTGTGCCAAAGTTTCTCTAAGGTAAATACATAGGAGTGAAATTGCTGGATTAGAAATGACATTTTCAATTTTTAAGACAATACCAAATTTTTATCCAAAGTCATTAGCAAAATTTCAGTCACATCAAGAGTGTATAAGGGGCCGGGCGCGGTGGCTCACGCTTGTAATCCCAGCACTTTGGGAGGCCGAGGCGGGCGGATCACGAGGTCAAGAGATCGAGACCATCCTGGCTAACACGGTGAAACCCCGTCTCTACTAAAAATACAAAAAAAATAGCCGGGCGTGATGGTGGGCGCCTGTAGTCCCAGCTACTCGGGAGGCTGAGGCAGGAGAATGGCGTGAACCCGGGAGGCGGAGCTTGCAGTGAGCCGAGATTGCGCCACTGCGCTCCCGCCTGGGCCACAGAGCGAGACTCCGTCTCAAAAAAAAAAAAAAAAAAAAAGAGTGTATAAGGGTTTCTGTGACTCTATTTCCTCACCAACATCAAAAATTGACTGATTTTAGGTCGGGCATGATGACTTATCCCTGGAATCCCAGCATTTTTGGAGGCCCAGGCAGGAGGAACACTTGAGGCCAGGAGATGAAGACCAACCTGGGCAATATAGTGAGACCCTGTCTCTCAATTTTTTTTTAAATTGACTTCTGTAAGCCAGGGTTGATGAATTTAAAATTTTTTTTTATTGAAAAATGTTTGGTTGGGCACAGTGGCTCACACAGTGGATATGGGATCTTGCTCTGTCACCCAGGCTGGAGTGCAGTGGCACAATCACAGCTCACTGCAGGCTCAATCTCCTGAGCTCAAATGATCCTCCCAGCTCAGCCTCCTGAATAGCTGGGACCACAGGTATGTGCCACCCCTTTTCTTTATTTCGGTAAAAACAGTGTCTCACTATGTTGTCCAGGCTGGTCCCAAACTCCCTGGCTCAAGTGATCCTCCTGCTTTAGCCTCCCAAAGTGCTGGGATTACAGACATAAGCCACTGTGCCCAGCCATCATTTTATACTTATTTGAATATTTATGACTGGTTAGCTAAAAAACTATTCAATGAAGCTTTCATCCACAGGAATTTACAAGAAATTCTCCAAAATACTCAGTTATCACTGAGGACTAATGTGCCACCAGAGGGAGCCCAAAGAGGTCGATGAATGTGGCATAGTAGCATTCAAGTCCACACAGGATAGGGGAGTTTAGCTTTACTTAACATTTTTATGGGTATTTTTCACTATTGCTTACATCAAGATCTTGGAGTTTTAATGTATTTTTGCAGTATGTCACATCTTTCCCCCGGTATTTCATTATTTTAATTTTGTTTTTCCATATGACTATGTACAATAAGACATCATGAGATGAAATAACTAGTTCAATATTATACATAAGCCTGGGCAACATGATAAGACACTGTCTCTACAAAAGATAAAAATAAAAAATAATTAGCCAGGCATGATGGCACACCTGTGGTCCCAGCTACTTGGGAGGCTGAGGCAGGAGGATTGCTTGTCCGCGGAGGTCAAGGCTGCAGTGAGCTGTGATTGTGCCACTGCACTCCAGTCAGGACAACAGAGCAAGACCATCTCAAATATATATATATGTTGCCCCTAGAATTTTTTTTTGAGACAGGATCTGGCTCTGTTGCCCAGGCTAGAGTGCAGTGACACAATCTTGGCTCACTGCAACCTCCACCTCCTGGGCTTAAGTGATCCTCCCGCCTCAGCCTCCTGAGTAACTGGGACCACAGGTGCATGCCACCACACTCAGCTGATTTTTCTTTTTCTTTCTTTTTTTTTTTTTTTAGAGACAGGGTTTCACCTTGTTGCCCAGGTGAGTCTTTTTTTTTTTTTTTGAGATGGAGTCTCGCTCTGTTGCCCAGGCTGGAGTGCAGTGGCGCGATCTCGACTCACTGCAAACTCCACCTCCCGGGTTCACGCCATTCACCTGTCTCAGCCTCCCGAAGTAGCTGGGACTACCGGCGCCCGCCACCACGCCCAGCTAATTTTTTTGTATTTTTAGTAGAGACGGGGTTTCACCATGTTAGCCAAGATGGTCTCGATCTCCTGACCTCATGATCTGCCTGTCTCGGCCTCCCAAAGTGCGGGATTACAGGCGTGAGCCACTGTGCCTGGTCTCCAGGTGAGTCTTGAACTCCTGAGCTCAAGCAATTTGCCTGCCTTGGCCTCCCAAAGTGCTGGGATTACAGGCATGAGCCAACATGCCTGGCCTACCCCTGTAATATTTAATGGCCTTCCTGATTCTCTATTCTTAGATTGTTCCCCAGGCACTACAGTCTTGACCTATCTCTAGATGCTGGAACCAATTCTGAAAGTGGAAGTTTACTTCATCGCTCTGGTTACTTCCTACAAGTTAAGCTTGTTTTATTCTAATCTTTTTTAAAACATTTTTTTAGAGATGAGGTCTCACTGTATTGCCCAGGCTGGTCTCAAACTCCTGGGCTCAAGCCATCCTCTTGCCCTGGCTTTCCAAAGTGCTGGGCTTAAAGGTGTAAGCCACCATGCTCAACCTGTCCTCTTCTAATCTTATTGGCTAGACCTAGTAATAGGATTCTGCCACCTCCTAAATCCTCATTGCAATTAATATGTCTTGTGTTTTGTTCTTCATCATCTAGGTGCCTGTCTGAAAACCAGTTCCTCTATGACTGTGATCTCCAAGTGATCACAGTCTTGTCCTGGAAGCCAGACTAGTGATATGCACCTTGTACCTTGCTCCTCAAGGCACCAACAAATAGGAATCCAGAGCAACTTTCTTAGCTGGAGGTTTAGTTTGTTTGTTTGTTTTATCCACACTGTTTCTGGGACAGGGGCTAATCCTACAATACGGACAGGCTACAGGCCAAGACCTTTGGCTGCTTCTTTCTTTGTCCTGGCTGCTAAGAGTTTGAAAAACAATTTTATGTTTGATTGCTATAGATTTTCTTTAGCAGCAACTGAGCAAAAAAGTTTCCTGATACATTTTCATCTATTTATTGAACTAATGAGGCTCTATGCTATGCACTTTGGAATATGGTAATATATAAGATTGACAAAGTCCCTGCCATTAAGAGTTTATAGTCTAGCAGGGGTTTAAGGCATCAAACAAGTTTTAACTGGGTAAGTACTAAAAAAGGGAATGACCCAAAGGAGGTTTACAACATGAAGGCTTAATCTCAGCTAACTGACGTTTTTTACTGGATTTTTGCCTTTAATTGTGGGGTGGTTTGTCACTTGTTTTGTTGTTATAATTTAATTTTACTTCAAGTCAACTCAAATTCTTTCAGTTGTAGGCAGAGATGTGTTTGCGTGTGTAATCATACAATTTTTTTTTTTTTGAGACATGGTCTCACTTCATCACCCAGGCTGGATTGCAGTGGCATGATCATGGCTACTGCAGTCTCGACCTCCTAGGCTCAAGCGATCCCACCTCAGCCTCCCAAGTAGCTGGGACTACAGAGGTGCCACCAAAGCCCAGCTGATTTTTTGTATTTTTTGTTAAGACGGGGTTTCACCATGCTGCCTAGGCTGGTCCTGAACTCCTGCGCTCAAGCAATCTGCCCACCTTGACTTCCCAAAGTGCTGGGATTACAGGCGTGAGCTACTGTGCCCAGCTTACACAATGGCTTTCATATATCCCTCCTTTCACAAAAAAATGTGAAATGATGTATCATGGGGGATATTCATTGCAATTTCTGAGATGAGTTTTTATTAATTCAAATAGTGGCTTAACAAATGGACACTAATCACTACAGAAGCTGATTCAATACAAAAAGATAGAATATGAGGGTGATAGTGCAAACGCTTAGGCAATTTAGAATGCAGGCAGAAGAAAGGAAAAAGGATTACTTGCACACAGGGGCCAGGCAAGTAACATACATGACTGAACCAGGTAAGGCTGGGACATGGTGGACCAGAGAGGGTTCAAGTGACTGCCATGTAGGAATCAGGGCCCAGTGTGGCCACGGCATCCCAATCTATAAGAGAAGCTAGAATTTCGATTTTTATATGAAATTCTCTATTTTTAATGTCAAATAACTTAATTTAAATGATTTTGCATAAGATGAGATACATGCACAATTTTAAAAAACTAAGAAAAATTTAAAAAATAAAAAATTGGCCGGTCACAGTGGCTCATGCCTGTAATCCCAGCACTTTGGGAGGCAGACGTGGGCGGATTACTTGAGGTCAGGAGTTCAAGACCAGCCTAGACAACATGGTGAAACCCCATCCCTACTAAAAAAAAATACAAAAATTAACTGGGCGTGTTGGCTGGCGCCTGAAATCCCAGCTACTTGGGAGGCTAAGGCAGGAGAATTGCTTGAACTGGGAGGTGGAGATTGCAGTGAGCCGAGATTGCGCCACTGCACTCCAGCCTGGGCGACAGAGCCAGACTCCATCTCAAAAAAAAAAAAAGATAAAAAAAATAAAAGATTGTGCAGGCTGAACAAAACGCCCCTGCCATTTTGGCATATTTAATTTATTTTCTTATTTTTATTTTTTATTTTATTGACTCTGCTTGATATGGTGTATTTAATTTAGACTCTAAATTTTATGATAACTTTCTAATCATGGACTCACCAACTTCTGCCCATTGCATCTTGTTTCCTCTGGTGTTTTACTCATCCCTGTCTCCTCTGTACTACCTACCTTCAATCCCAACGTCATTCACTGGCTTCCAGTATCATTAAGTGATTCCGCTAACAAAGAAGGAGATCTAAGGCCTTTTGTCCCTCTCTCCCCAGAGAGGTTTTCTTTAGAGGGAAGGGGAGTGAGTGGGAGAGGTGAAATACAAGGTTTTCTTTTCTTCCCCTGAAGTGGTCTACAGACTGAAAAGTTTAAACAACGTTGTCCCAGAATTTCCTTCCTGTCTGGAGAACAGTACACCTAGAAGAATAATTAATGGAGCTCTTTGCCACTGCTAAACCTGCACTTCTGGAGTCTTGTCACATTGCACAGCTCCCTGCCACTGGATAACTGTATATGGTACAATACTTAACCACACAACAACAAAGAAACTGCTCCCCAGGTGACACCAGCTGTTCCAGGAGCTTTTTTTAGTATCACAGGGATGATGCTTTACTTTCAGGCAAACAAGTATTCAACATTTAGCATTATACATACTCCTGGAAAAAGAATTCCACTATTGGCTGGGAGCAGTGGCTCATGCCTGCAATCCCAGCACTTTGGGATGCTGAGGCGGGCGGATCACTTGAGGTCAGGGGTTCAAGACCAGCCTGGCCAACATGGTGAAACCCTGTCTCCACTAAAAATACAAAAAATTAGCCAGGTGTGATAGCAGGAACCTGTAATCCCAACTACTCGGGAGGCTGAGGCAGGAGAATTGCCTGAGCCCAGGAGGCGGAGGTTGCAGTGAGCCGAGATCATGCCACTGCACTCCAGTCTGGGTGACAGAGCAAGACTCTCTTAAAAAAAAAAAAAAAAATCCACTCAAGAGATTTTTATCCATGCAAGAGTAGTTAGGTGGTACCAATGGCAGATATATATGTTTACTTATTTATTGAGACAGGGTCTTGCTCTGTCACCCAGGTGGCAGTGCAGTGGCACAATCATGGTTCACTGCAGCCTCAATCTCTTGGCTCAAGCAATCCTCCTGCCTTAGCCTCTTGAGTAGCTGGGACTACAGGCGTGCACCAACACACCTGGCCAGGGCAGATATAATTTTTTTACAAAATAGATTATTTATTGAAGATGCAAAATGAAACTTAATGTTTCGCAGCAATCCTATGTAAGTCCAGATATGGTCAGAAGACATTATTTTTCAAATTCTGTCTTTTCATTAGTCTTAACTCAACCATTATTACTAGAGTTTCATATTTCTTGTTGTTTTTTAAAAGTCGATGACATATGGGCTGGGTGTGGTGGCTCACACCTGTAATCCCAGCACTCTGGGAGGCCGAGGCAGGCGGATCATGAGGTCAGGAGATCGAGACCATCCTGGTTAACACAGTGAAACCCTGTCTCTACTAAAAAATACAAAAACAAAATTAGCCGGGCATGGTGGCGGGCACCTGTAGTCTCAGCTACTCGGGAGGCTGAGGTGGGAGAATGGTGTGAACCCAGGAGGCGGAGCTTGCAGTGAGCCGAGATCGCACCACTGCACTCCAGCCTGGGTGACAGAGTGAGGCTCCATCTCAAAACAAAAAACAAAAAACAAGTCTATCGCATATGAGTATGAATTTGAGAAATCTTAGCAAAAAGCAAAAAAGATGGAATAGTGTATATGCCTCTTCTCTAGCTACTTGTTTTCAGATCCATCCCTTGCCCTTCTGCTACTCTGCTCTTTATCACAAGAAACTATTTTCCCCAAACTCCCTTGCCCTTGACCTACCCCTGGGCTTAGTCATGGTGAAAAGTTAGAGGATGGAAGGAAGAGGAAAGGTGGGATTTCTCCCCCTCTCTCCCGTACCCTTAGAACAGCCCCTTCCTCAGGGGCTCCTGCTCCTCCTTGACCCCCTGGCTGTAGCTCCTGAGGATGATGACACGTAGGGGTGGTTGTGGCTTTCTGCTGATGTTAACTCTGAGTTGCTTCACTGTCCACTTTGTTTTGTTTTGTTTTGAGACAAGGTCTTACTCTGTTGCCCACTCCGGAATGCAGTGACACAATCACAGCTCACTGTAACCTCGACCTCTCCAGCTCAAGCAGTCTGCCCACCTCAGCCTCCCAAGTAGCTGGGGCCACAGGTGTGCGCCACCACGCCCAGCTAATTTTTAAATTTTTTGGACATAGGGAGGGGAACATCACACACTGGGGCCTGTTGTGGGGTGGGGCACAAAGGGAAGGAGAGCATTAGGACAAATACCTAAGGCATGCAGTGCTTAAAACCTAGATGACAGGTTGATGGGTACAGCAAACCACCATGGCACATGTATACCTATGTAACAAACCTGTACGTTCTGCACATGTATCCTAGAACTTAAAGTAAAATAAATCAAAAAAAAAAAAAAAAGAGTCAAAAGAACAGATTTTTTTTTTTAAGAGATGGAGGCGGGGGCGGGGGGCAGGGGGTGGTCCCACTATGTTGCCCAGCCTGGTCTCGAACTCCTGGGCCCAAGCAGTCCTCCCGCTATGGCCTCTCAAAGTGCTGGGATTATAGGCGTGAGCCATTGCAGCTGGCCCTCACTGTCCACTTTGAACTTCTTAGCCTCAGCTGTTCATCCCTCGTGTAAACAATTCCCTGAACTAGTTTCTCTCTTTCAAACAGTGGCTTCTATGTTTCTGACTGGACTTTCACGGATACAAACAGTGGGGCTCTTTGCAAAACACTCTTCTAAGCTTTCAGGTATATGTCATTAATCCAGTCTGTAGACTCACATGTATGTCAGTTTTATCTGTGACCAGACATTCCCAGATTAAGTCATATTTTCTACTTATGCCTAACAGCTAGCCCCCAAATTTTAATTCTCCTGGACTGATGCCAGTGAATTCCATTTTACAAATTTGTTTTGAGTTATCTATATTGCCTTCCTTTTAAAATTTCTTGGGAAGACAAAAGTTTAGAACTCAGTTGTAAATTAAAATATGATTCAGGGCCAGGTGCAGTGGTTCACTCCTGTAATCCTAGCACTTTGGAAGGCAGAGGCAGGAGGATCGCTTCAGGTGAACCCTTGAGGGGAGACCAGCCTGGGCAACATAGGGCAAGTCCCCATCTCTACAAAAAATAAAAAATAAATTAGCTGGGCATGAGGGCATGCGCTCTTGTGGTTCCAGCTACTGGGGAGGCAGAGGTGGGAGAATTACTTGAGCCTGGGAGTTTGAGGCTGTACTGAGCTATAATCATGCCATTGCACTCCTGCCTGGGGGACAGAACAAGACCTTGTCTTTTTTTAGGTCTTGCTATGTTGCCCAGGCTGGGCTTGAACTCCTGGTATCAAGCAATCCTCCCGCCTCAGCCTCCCAAAGTGCTGAGATTACAGGCCTGAGCCATCATGATGGCTGGCCTTTTTATTTTTATTTTTTATAGAGACAGGGTCTCGCCATGTTACCCTGTCTAGTCTCAAACCCCTGGCCCCAAGCAATCCTCCTGCCTTGGCTTTCCAAAGTCCTGAGATTACAAGCCTGACCCACCAAACCAGGCAGAGACTCTGTCTCTTGAAAAAAAAAAGTAAACAAAATAAAGTATAAATGATTCAGGAGTTAAAATGTGCTTTATTTTGCATCTAAAAACCATGGGCATTACTTCTTTACAGTAGGCTTCCAGGAGGAAAACTCTTTTAAGGCTTTAAAAACTTTTTTGTTGGCCAGGCGTGGTGGCTCATGCCTATAATCCCAGCACTTTGGGAGGCCGAGGCAGGCGGATCACCTGAGGTCAGGAGTTTGAGACCAGCCTGACCAATATGGTGAAACCCTGTCTCTACTAAAAATGCAAAAATTAGCCAGGTGTGGTGGTGGGCGCCTGTAGTCCCAGCTACTGGAGAGGCTGAGACAGGAGAATTTCTTGAACCTGGGAGGCAGAGGTTGCAGTGAGCCAAGATTGTGCCGTAGCACTACAGGCTGGGCCACAGGTGAGACTCTGTCTCAAAACAAAACAAAACGAAAAACTTGTTTTAAATTATGTTCTATTTTAATTTCAAATTAGAAAAAGTAAAGAAAATTACAGCATAATACATCCTCATATAATCTTTGCCTGGATTCACCATTTGTTAGCATTCTACAAATTTGCATTTTTTTTCTCTCTCTTTCTGAACCATTTGAAAGTAAGTTGCAGGCATCATGACATTTCACCACTAAATAGTTCAGCGTGTTTGTCCTAAGAACAAGAACATTCTCCTGGCCATGCATGGTAGCTCACATCTGTAATCCCAGCACTTTGGGAGCTAAGGCGGGTGGATTGTTTGAGCCCAGGAGTTTGAGACTAGCCTGGGAAACATAGCAACACCCTGTCTCAATTTATTAAAAAAAAAAAAAAAAGAAAGAAAAAATTATCCTACATAACCACAATACCATATTTATGGCCAAGGCATTTAATGATCCAGTCCATTCTAGTTTCCTGAATTGTCCAAAAAAAAAAAAGTTCTTGATAGTTTTTTCTTTTCTTTTTGTCCCAATAAACTTTTTTTTTTTTTTTTTTGAGATGGAGTTTCACTCCTGTTGCCCAGGCTGGAGTGCAATGGCACGGTCTCAGCTCACTGCAACCTCTGCTTCCCAGGTTCAAGCTATTCTCCTGCCTCAGCCTCCCAAGTAACTGGGATTACAGGCATGTACCACCACGCCCGGCTAATTTTTTGTGTTTTTAGTAGAGACGGGGTTTCTCCATGTTGGTCAAGGCTGGTCTGAAACTCCCAACCTCAGGTGATTCGCCTGCCTCGGTCTCCCAAAAGTGCTGGGATTACAGGCGTGAGCCACCGCGCCTGGCCACTTTAACTTGCTTTCTATAGGAATCTTCTATCGTAGGATCATATTTTTCAACAAAAATTCATTGAACAAATTGTACAGTCAAAGCAGACTTTCCAACGCCTCCTGAGTCAAGAACGACTAGCTTATATTCACACATGATGCAAACTTGTCAAAACCTATTACCTCTCACGCTGTCACTGGGTCCCCGCAGCCAGCGTCACCCCGTGCCGCTCCCCGCGGGTCGCTACTCTGGTCGTCACGGCGGTCCTGCAGCTGCCGCCGCCGCTCGGGCTGGTTTACACGCCTGACTCTGGGAGAGGTTTGGCAATGTCCTGAACACTTTCACTGTAGTAGATGCTGATGGAATTCATGACGTGCTATCCCAAAATACAACACCTTGGCATTTGAGAAGATAGCAGAAGGAGGAGGCTCATTCTCACCTTTCCCCTTTTTTCTCCAGAAGCAGGTCATAAAGCCGAAAAGGACATTTCTGCCTTTCTCTGAAGCAGGTCATAAGTCCCTCATTAGAGAAGTATTCTCCCTATACCTGAAGAAAAGGAACATCCTTATCTATGAAGACACAGGAACTCAGAGAAGAATCTGAACAAACAGGCCTTGCAAAATGCCCTCCAGCTTCCTGCCATTAGATCATACCTCCTTTTTCCGGCCATACTTCTCCATAACTATCCACTTCTTCATCAGATCTAGCATAAAAACATTTCTGTTTAACTGTTGCTTCGGTTCTTCATTTCCTTATGAAGGCTCCGCATCACGTAAAACTTACGTTAAATAAATGTGTATGCTTTTCTCTTGTTAATCTATTTTTTGTTACGGGGTCTCAGTCATGAACCTTAGGTAGGAAGGAAAATAGTTCTTTCACCCTGCAGTACCGTGGATCAAAAAGAAAAAAAACACACACACATAGTCTCAGTCATGTTTTATTTGTTTTTGTTTGTTTGTTTGTTTTGAGACGGAGTTTTGCTCTTGTCCCCCAGGCTGGAGTGCAATGGCACGATCTTGGCTCACTGCAACCTCCGCCTCCCAGGTTCAAGCGATTCTCCTGCCTCAGCCTCCCAAGTAGCTGGGACTACAGGCGTCCACCACCACACCCAGCTAATTTTTGTATTTTTAGTAGAGACAGGGTTGCACCATGTTGGCCAGGCTGGTCTCTAGTTCCTGACCTCACATGATCTACCCATCTCAGCCTCCCAAAGTGCTGGGATTACAGGCGTGAGCCATGGTGCCCGGCCTCAGTCACATTTTATTTTAAAGGAACAATTATATCATAATGCTTTTCAAAAATAGAGGTACAAGGCCAGGCGTGGTGGCTCACGCCTGTAAACCCAGCACTTTAGGAGGCTGAGGAGGGTGGATCACGAGGTCAGGAGATCAAGACTATCCTGGCCAACATGGTGAAACCCCGTCTCTACTAAAAATACAAAAATTAGCTGGGCGTGGTGGTGCACGCCTATAGTCCCAGCTACTCGGGAGGCTGAGGCAGGAGAATCACTTGAATCCGGGAGACGGAGGTTGCGGTGAGCTGAGATCATGCTGCTGCACTCCAGCCTGGCAGAAAAGCGAGACTCTGTCACAAAATAAATAAATAAATAAATAAAAATAGAGGTACAGGCCTGGCGCAGTGGCTCATGCCTGTAATCCCAGCACTTTAGGAGGCCAAGGCAGGTGGATCACTTGAGGTGAGGAGTTCGAGACCAGCCTGGGCAACAAGGCGAAACCCTGTCTCTACAAAAACTACCAAAAAATTAGCCGGACATGGTGGCACACTCCTGTGGTCCCAGCTACTCAGAAAGCTAAGGTGGGAGGATCACCTGAGGTTTCAATGAGCTGGTATCATGCCACTACACTCCAGCCTGGGCAACAGAGCAAGACTCTGTCTCAAAAAAAAAAAAATACAATATGCTATGAGGAAGCATAGGAGGGAAACTACAGGGTAGCCTCAAAAGTTTCACATCAGAAGTAATATTTGTGCTGAGTCTTAAAAAACAAGTAGAAGTGTGTCAATCCTATCTCTAACTTTCAATCTCTAAAAGAGAAGCAAAATGCAAAAACAAATCTCTATTGCAGATGGAGATTCAGAACTTTGTAAAAAAAAAAAATTTCTTTCAGTTTATTACCTCCTTGATCTTTTCTGCTTAGGATATTGACCTAACACTGAGTGGCTTAGTAAATATAAATTTAATACTTGATAAGCCTTACTCCTTAATATTTTCTTGTTTCAGTGAACAAGGTTCCTTTTCTTCAGGAACATTAGATTTTCTTCCCCCTGTGTGTGGCTCAATATTAATTTCCCATCCCCTTATCTGTGTGCCTGCCAAAAATGGAGACTACAGAGATTGGAAATACATTCTGAGCTCCTGCGTGAATTTCCTGAATTATTTCCTTATTCCTGAGGAAGGATCTCCAAGAAGGTGAAGAGAAGCAGCCAAAAATTATTTTAATTCAAACCAGCAGTGGTTGTCTTTGTACAGTGACGGCTTCCTAGATCACATGGTAAAGTAAGTCTTAGACATACTCTGTCCTTGCTCTGCCCACATCCTCTGCTTCATGGACTGTGCCTGACAGTTTCATTTTTGCTTTCAACCATTCCTATAAAATTCTAGAAAACACGATTTCGAGCAGGGATGCCAAATTTTGAACCTGACTAGTAGATAAATCCAATCCTCAAAAAAATGAATGCAAAGTATAGCACGAAGGCATGCAAAAATTTGGTTCTTACTTTTTCTGCTATTTACTCTCAAATCTTTTTTTTAAATAATGGAAATACAACATGTAAACATTTTTTTTTTTTTTTAGACAGAGTCTTACTCTGTCACCCAGGCTGGAGTGCAGTGGCGCGATCTCGGCTCACTGCAACCTCTGCCTCCTGGGTTCAAGCGATTATCCTGCCTCAGCCTCCCGAGTAGCTGGGACTACTGGTGTGTGCCACCACACTCGGCTAATTTTTGTATTTTTAGTAAGATGGAGTTTCACCTAGTTGGCCAGGCTGGTCTCGAACTCCTGACCAGCCTTGGCCTCCCAAAGTGGTGGGATTACAGGCGTGAGCCACCGTGCCCAGCCTGCATGTAAATAAATTTAAAATATTCTTTTTTTTTTTTTGAGACTGAGTCTCGCTTTGTTGCCCAGGCTGGAGTGCAGTGGCACAGTCTCGGCTCACTGCAACCTCCTTGTCCTGGATTCAAGTGATTCTCCTGCCTCAGCCTCCCCAGTAGCTGGGATTACAGGTGCCCATCACCAGGCCTGGCCAATTTTTTGTATTTTTAGTAGAGAAGGGGTTTCACCATGTTGGCCAGGCTAGTCTTGACCTCCTGACCTCGTGATTTGCCCACTGCAGCCTCCCAAAGTGCTGGGATTACAGGCGTGAGCCACTATGCCCAGCCTAAAATATTCTTAAAAAAAAAAAAAAAAAAAATCTGTGCTCGCTTCTGCAGCACATATGCTAAAATTAAAAAAAAAAAAAATCTAGACCTACAGATTTTTTGGAGGCAAGATCTCACTCTGCCACCCAGGCTAGAGTGCAGTGATGCAATCATAGCTCACTGCAACCTCAAACTCCTGGGCTCAAGGGATCTTCCCACCTCAGCCTCTTGAGTAGCTGGGAATAAAGGCACACATCACCATGCCAAGGTCACGCCACTGCACTCCAGCCTGGGTGACAGAGGGAGACTCTGTCTCAAAAGAAAAAAAAAGCCTCTTTATATTTTTATTTCATCCTTAAAAATGTCTATATATTGCATAATGTATGTTATATATTAATACAGTAAATACATATATAATGTATAAATAAATAACATGCAAAAAAAAGTTTGAATACCACTCATTTAAAATTGGTACCCTTTGATTTCATATGTTTTGTTCATATTTTGAGAAGGCTGTAGGATAAATTTTCAAAGGGAACAAACTGAAATGCATAGCTAGATATAAGTTGTTTAATTATTGCATTTGGACTGTTGACCTTTGCAATACTCATTGTATACTAAAAATCAAGTTAAAATAAAGTCTTGTTTAATTTTTATAGATTGTAAAAATAATTAAGAGAATTTGAAAATGACATAAATATAAAATAAAGGCAAAATATCATGGGACTGCCAGGCATGGTGGCTCACACTTGTAATCCCAGCATTTTGCGAGGGCGAGGCAGGCGGATCACTTGAGCTTGGGAGTTCGAGACCAGCCTGGGCAACATGGTGAAACCCCATCTCTACAAAAAATACAAAAATTGGCTGGACGTGGTGGAATGTGCTTGTGGTCCCAGCTACTTAGGGGGCTGAGGTGGGAGGATATCTTGAGCCTGGGAGTTCGAGGCTGCAGTGAGCTGTAATTGAAACACTGTACTGCAGCCTGGGTGACAGAGCCAGATTCTGTCTAAAAAAAAAAAAAAAAAAAAAAAGCGAGACAACTGTTATCATTTTATGTATCTTCTTCTAGTCTTTTTTTTTTTTTGCCAAAGGATCCTCTTTCCAGAAGGTCTGAAGGCACAATGAATAAAACCATGGAGTTACTACAACTATATCATTTCCACCAGTGCCCTTAAGCTGTTGTCTAGAATTTCTATTTATAGAAAAAAAGTTAGCCTTTCTGTGTAAGCAACAGAAAGAGGGATACATCAAAAGCCAGGTAGGGGTGCAGAGTAAGGAAAGGCTGGAATTATAAGCTAAACTAAACCAACAAAGTCAGTAAAAGAAAATAAAAGAAAACATCCAAAACAAAGAGGTGCTATCAATAGCAGTCACTGTAAAAACATGTCAAACAAAATAATCAGCTTATGCTATAAAGAATAAAAGAGACTGAAAGCATTCTTTGAAACATGAAACAACTATTTTCACTACTCTAATCCTTCTTCAATCCATGTATTCCTTTCTTTGGTCATTTGCCCTAAATTACTGAAAACAAATATTTGACAAGAGACAGCTAACTGAAGAGAATTAATCCTTTTTAGCTTTAGGTTAAACTAAGAGGAGGCTAGTCCATTTAACAGCATTTAGTGGACAAATCTTTGAATAGGTTTAGGGTTCAATTAATATCTGAGCCTAATTATTATTATTATTATTATTATTATTATTATTTTTAAGGTGGAGTCTCACTCTGTTGCCCAGGCTGGAATGCAGTGGTGCAATCTCAGCTCGCTGCAACCTCCTCCTCCCGGATTCAAGCAATTCCCTTGCCTCAGCCTCCCGAGTAGCTGGGACTACAGGCGTGTGCCACCATGCCTGACTAATTTTTGTATTTTTAGTAGAGATGGGGTTTCACCATGTTGGTCAGGCTGGTCTCAAACTCCTGACATCAAGTGATCCACTCGCCTCGGCCTCCCAAAGTGCTGGGATTATGGGCATGAGCCACCGTACCCAGCCTCCTCATTATTTTTCATATGCATGAGGATACAATCTTACTCCAATAAAAGTTAAGTTCTCTGAACAAGCATGACTAAAAAAGTGTTTCTTTTAATCCACTAGCAGTAAAACTCACTGTTCAGACACATGACTAAAATTTTTATCCTTTATAAAATTTCCAGCATTTCCAATGTTTGTATAGTTCAACAATATCCAAAACTTTCCAATTCATAATGTTCAATAAATGTGAAATACTATTAGAAAATCTTTAAAATTATGGCTTACTTTCACTCAAATGTAACTGTATATATAACAAAACGGATAAAAGTAAAAGGAGGTCTTCACTTGCCAAGGTTCTTTGTTAACTGCATCAGGAATGTTTTTAATAACTCTTTTAATAATAGACTCAGGATGGTAAGAATATTGCAATAGTAGTTGGTACCTTTAACTGTGTATCTATTTAAATTTACTGGCCAAAAATGTGTAAATGTAACATAATACAGACTTTAAGCCATACTTCTCAAATTAAAAGCATTTATCTAACTCAATGCAGAATATTATCACACAGGTACCACACCCATGCACACCAACTAAAAACAGTATTCATTCTTAAGTGTGGCAAGGAAATTTTTTAATTTTTATGTTTACTTTCATAATATCCCTTTTTTCACCTTTTTTCTTTTTCACAAAAATGTCATGAGAGATACCGTGCAACAATAATTAGGGAATCTAACCTGAGGTCCCTGTGGGTTGTAAGTTTCTAAAACTTCAAAATTATGGTCATCTATGTATTTCATTGGTTGTCTCTTTTTTTGTTGTTGTTGTTTTTTCTGAGACAGAGTGTCACTCTGTCACCCAGGCTAGAGTGCAGTGGCGTGATCTTGGCTCACTGCAACCTCCACCTCCCAAGTTCAAGTGATTCTCTTGCCTCAGCCTCCCGAGTAGCTAGCATTACAGGTGCCCACCACCATGCCTGGCTAATTGTTTTTTGTATTTTTAGTAGAGGCGGGGTTTCACCATGTTGAACAGGCCGATCTCGAACTCCTGACCTCAAGTGAGATCCACGTGCCTCGGCCTCCCAAAGTGCTAGGATTACAGGCGTGAGTCACCGTGCCTAGTCCATAGGTTGTCTCTTTATGTATCATGTACTTCATAACTGCCAATTTAAAATTCCGACTCCAAGTAAAATTATCTAGCTGTCATCCATGCATTTTCCTTCATTCCATATCTTTAATAGGTATGATATCTTGTAAATTTTAAAACTGTTCCAATTGTTTTATTGATTTAGTAGAATGTGGCTATCAATCTCAATTAATTAAACTCACTTTTTTTATTGTCACCATATTGAGTTCATGAATCATTTAAAGATTATAATGTTACCTTTATATATCTATGTTCACACATATTGCATAATAATAATTTACCATTCCAAAATTTTCTAAATTAAGTAATTTTATTTATTTTTATTTTATTTTTGAGATGGGGATCTTGCTATGTGGTCCAGGCTGGAGTGCAGTGGCTATTCACAGGCACAATTATTGTGCACTACAGTCTTGAACTCCTAGACTCAGGAGATCCTCTTACCTCAACCTCCTGAGTAGCTTGGACTACAGGTTCATGCCACCATGCCCACAAATATATATATATATTTTTTTGTTGTTGTTTTTTTTAAGATAGAGTCTCACTCTGTCACCCATGCTGGAGTACAATGGCAGGATCTTAGCTTACTGTAACCTCCGCCTCCCAGGTTCAAGCGATTCTCCTGCCTCAGCCTCCCGAGTAGCTGGAATTACAGGCGCCTGTCACCACGCCCAGCTAATTTTTTGTATTTTTAGTAGAGATGGGGTTTCACCATGTTGGCCAGGCTGGTCTCCAACTGCTGACCTCAGGCAATCCATCTGCCTCGGCCTCCCAAAGTGCTGGGATTACAGGCGTGAGCCACAGTGCCCGGCCTATTTTTATGGACTGAAAATAAATTTAAAATGGTCAACCATGGCTGGGTGTGGTGGCTCATGCCTATAATTCCAGCACTTTGGAAGGCCAAGATGGGAGGATTGCTTGAACCCAGGAGTTCAAGACAAGCCTGGGCAACATAGTGAGACACTGTCTCTACTTTTTAAAAAAATTTAAAAATTAAAGGAAAAACAAAAAAGGAAAAAAAAATTAAAAATTTAAAAAAATAAAATAAATGGTCAACCAAAATATAACTCAATCGCAATGTTAATTTCTTAAATTTTGATCCTTTTAGAAAGAAAATTTATCCCCTCTGCTTGTGATAGTTCTGAAATTGAAATTTAAACAAAGAGTAATGGATTAATTAATTAAATATTACCCTATGGAAAGGTACCTCTAGAAATTCAGCTATATCAGCTCTGGAGTTCCCAAAATAATAGAATAGTATATCAAGTTATACTTTTGTTTGTTTGTTTGTTTGAAACGGAGTCGCCCAGGCTGGAGTGCATGGGTGTGATCTCAGCTCACTGCAACCTCCTCCACTCAGGTTTAAGCGATTCTTCTGCCTCAGCCTCCCAAGTAGCTGGAATTAGAGGTGCGTGCCACCACACCTAGCTAATTTTTTTGTATTTTTATTAGAGATGGGGTTTTGCCATGTGGGCCAGGCTGGTCTCAAAATCCTGGCCGCAAGTGACCCACCCGCCTCGGCCTCTGGAAGTGCTGGGATTACAGGTATGTGCCACTGCCCCAGGCCAAGTTACAGTATTTTCCCCCAAACATTAATTCAACCTATCTCCATTAATAAACTTAAAAATTGTCCAAGAGTGTTATTTCATCATGGAAGAAAAATTTATCCATTTTTATGTACAAACACTATTCCTCTGTTTATGGAGATTTTTTAATTATGTCGAAGATGAACCAGTTAAAGAGTTCATGTAGGACAGATACATATATATTCAAAGTTAAGGTAAAGGTTTTCTTTTCTTTTTTTTTTTTTTTGAGTCAGAGTTTTGCTCTTGTTGTCCAGGCTGGACTGCAATGGCACTATCTTGGCTCACCACAACCTCTGCCTTCCGGGTTCAAGCGATTCTCCTGCCTCAGCCTCCCAACTAGCTGGGATTACAGGCATGTGCCACCACGCCTGGCTAATTTTGTATTTTTAGTAGAGATGGGGTTTCTCCATGTTGGTCAGGCTGGTCGAACTCCCGACCTCAGGTGATCCACCCACCTCAGCTTCCCAAAGTGCTGGGATTACAAGCGTGAGCCACCGCACCCGACCATGGTTTTCACTTATACTACCATTCTTTGTTTTAGAGACAGGGTCTCACTTTGTTGCCCCGCCTGGAGTGCAGTGGTGCTGAAACTGCCTTTGCAAAATTATGACTGAGACGGTGAAAGAGATCTAACTTAATTGACTCCATCTTGCTTCTAACCTCCAAGTTGTCCTGTTCATTCCTAGGCATAGGCTGAACTAACTTTGGGAGAAAGTTAGTTTATAGTTTAAAGCAAAGATGATAACAGCCCTTTCCCAAAGCAGACCTTCTTCTTGCCTGGGGACTAGACTGCCTTTGTAGGGCTAACATTAGCCATAAGATTAGAAATTATGGTTTTAGGAGTCTTACAGCTGGAAGCTACAAGATTCTTACCCTCGCTAAAATGCTCCTCAGATCAGTGCTTGAGATATTTTGCAAGACCCTGCGCTTGGTCAGCTGGCACCACCCAGATCAATAAACTGGCTCTTCTGATCTTGTGGCTCCCACCCAGGAACTGATTCAGTCCAAGAAGACAGCTTCGACTCCCTATGACTTCATCCCTGACCAATGGGCACTCCTGGCTCACTGGCTTCCCCCCCCAAACCACCAAGTTCTCCTTAAAAACTCTGCTTCCTGAATGCTCAGCGAGACTGATTTGAGTAAATAATAAAACTCTGGTCTGCTGCATAGCCAGCTGTTCATGAATCACTCTTTCTCAATTGCAATTCCCCTATCTTGATAAATCAGCTCTGTCTAGGCAGTGGGCAAGGTGAACCCATCGGACTCACTGCAGCCTCAAATTTCTAGGCTCAAGCAATTCTCTTGCCTCAGCCTCCCATGTAGCTGGGACTACAGGCAGGTGCCTCCATGCCCAGCTAATCTTTATTTTTTGTAGAGATGGATCTTGCTATGTTACCCAGGCTTGTCTCAAACTCCTGAGATCAGGTGATCCTCCTGCCCCAATGCCCTAAAGCCCTGGGATTACAGGTATGAGTCACTGTGACCGGCCTTACGCTATCATTCTTATTGGATATTTTAATCTTTTTACTATCCTACATAAAATGTTCTGATTATGTAGTATATAGGGCAACGTAAGTAAATCAATCAGTACTTAAATCTCATTCCAGCTCTGCCACTAACTTGCCTCAACTATAAAATGGTGATAATTTATTTCAGAAACATTGTAAAGATCACATGAAATAATGTATTCGATTTTATGAAAATGTATTACTATGTATTACATTTATGAAAATGTATTACTATGTATTACATTTATGAAAATGTATTACTATGTATTACATTTATGAAAATGTATTACTATGTATTACATTTATGAAAATGTATTACTATGTATTACATTTATGAAAATGTATTACTATGTATTACATTTATGAAAATGTATTACTGGTATTCTTGGTAATTCAATGTATAAATGTATTTCATTTAACTTTTTCAGTTAAATATATTTTTTGAAGCAAATGTATTATAAAGCACCCACTTTTAAAAATCTAGCTCTCCCTCTCCCTCTCCCTCTCCCTCTCCCCACGGTCTCCCTCTCCCTCTCTTTCCACGGTCTCCCTCTGATGCTGAGCCAAAGCTGGACTGTACTGCTGCCATCTCGGCTCACTGCAACCTCCCTGCCTGATTCTCCTGCCTCAGCCTGCCGAGTGCCTGCGATTGCAGGCGCGTGCCGCCACGCCTGACTGGTTTTCGTATTTTTTTGGTGGAGACCGGGTTTCGCTGTGTTGGCCGGGCTGGTCTCCAGCTCCTAACCGCGAGTGATCTGCCAGCCTCGGCCTCCCGAGGTGCCGGGATTGCAGACGGAGTCTGGTTCACTCAGTGCTCAATGTTGCCCAGGCTGGAGTGCAGTGGCGTGATCTCGGCTCGCTACAACCTCCACCTCCCAGCCGCCTGACTTGGCCTCCCAGAGTGCCGAGATTGCATCCTCTGCCCGGCCGCCACCCCGTCTGGGAAGTGAGGAGCGTCTCTGCCTGGCCGCCCATCGTCTGGGATGTGAGGAGCCCCTCTGCCCGGCTGCCCAGTCTGGGAAGTGAGGAGTGCCTCTTCCCGGCCGCCATCCCATCTAGGAAGTGAGGAGCGTCTCAGCCCGGCCGCCCATCGTCTGAGATGCGGGGAGCGCCTCTGCCCCGCCGCCCCGTCTAGGATGTGAGGAGCGCCTCTGCCCGGCCGCGACCCCGTCTGAGAAGTGAGGAGCCCCTCCGCCCGGCAGCCGCCCCGTCTGAGAAGTAAGGAGCCCCTCCGCCCGGCAGCCACCCCGTCTGGGAAGTGAGGAGCCCCTCCGCCCGGCAGCCACCCCGTCTGGGAAGTGAGGAGCCCCTCCGCCCGGCAGCCACCTCATCCGGGAGGGAGGTGGGGGGTCAGCCCCCGCCCGGCCAGCCGCCCCGTCCGGGAGGGAGGTGGGGGGTCAGGCCCCGCCCGGCCAGCCGCTCCGTCCGGGAGGGAGGTGGGGGGTCAGCCCCCGCCCGGCCAGCCGCCCCGTCCGGGAGGGAGGTGGGGGTCAGTCCCCGCCCGGCCAGCCGCCCCGTCCGGGAGGGAGGTGGGGGGCCCGCCTCTGCCCGGCCGCCGCCCCGTCCGGGAGGTGGGGGGGCCCCTCTGCCCGGCGGCCCCTTCTGGGAAGTGAGGAGCCCCTCTGCCCGGCCACCACCCCGTCTGGGAGGTGTGCCCAACAGCTCATTGAGAACGGGCCATGATGACGATGGCAGTTTTGTGGAATAGAAAAGGGGGAAAGGGTGGGGAAAGGATAGAGAAGTCAGAAAAAAAAAAAAAAGAAAAATCTAAAGTGGCTGAAATTAGTGGTAAAGTAAAACGATAGAAACAATTGGAATTATGAAGTTAAGAGATTATTCTGGTCATTGTGGATAGTAAGTAGAAATGGTATGAATTTATAGCACTCATAATTTATACATGAAAATAAATAATCAAGTTTACCAAATCAAAACAATACGAAAAAGAAGAAAAAAAACAATAGTAACCTGTTATTGAAGTAATATCACACTTCTCGATATGTACATATTCTTGCTTGTGGATATGATGTCTGTCTCTTGATTTGATGGTTAAAATAATCAGCTTTTGGCCAGGTGTAGTGGCTCACGCCTGTAATCCCAGCACGTTGGGAGGCTGAGGTGGGAGAATCACTTGAGCTCAGGAGTTTGTGATCAGTCTGGGCAACATAGCGGGACCCCATCCCTACAAATAAGAAAAATAGGCTGGGCACAGTGGAGCATGCCTGTAATCCCAGCACTTTGGGAGACCAAGGCAGGAAGATCCCTTGAGCTCAGGAGTTTGAGACCAGCCTGGGCAATATGGCCAAACCCTGTTTCTATTTAAAAATACAAAAAGAAAATTAGCCAGGCATGGTGGCACATACCTATAGTCCCAGCTACTCAGGAGGATCACTTGAGTCCAGGTGGTTGAGGCAGCAGTGAGCTGTAACGGTGCCATTGTACTCCAGCCTGGGCAACAGAGCAAGACCCTCCCTCAAAAAAACAAACAAAAAAATAAGTAAAAAATACAAAAAAATTAAAAATGTTCTTACTAAAAGATATTAAAGGGCCAGGCATGGTGGCTTATGCCTGTAATCCCAGCACTTTAGGAGGCTGAGGTGGGCAGATCACCTGATGTCAGGAGTTGGAGAACAGCCTGACCAATATGGAGAAACCTCATCTCTACTAAAAATACAAAATTAGCCAGGCGTGGTGGCGGGCACCTGTAATCCCAGCTACTCAGGAGGCTGAGGCAGGAGAACTGCTTGAACCCGGGAGGTGGAGGTGGCAGTGAGCCATGATAGAGATCATGCCATTGCACTCCAGCCTGGGCAACAAGAGCGAAACTCCGTCTCAAAAAAAAAAAAAAAAAAAAAAAGATATTAAACAAAATTTTGTTTTAAAAATCCAGGTGAGGTTTCTTACTAAAAGTTATTCAATAAAATAAATAAAATTAGCCATGTGTGGTGGTGAAGTGGCATCCTTATCTGGGGCAAATACCCGCTGTTACTCGTCTTGCGTCAAGAAGATTAAGGACATGAACACACACAAGGAGTTTAGGAGCAGAGGTTTAATAGGCAAAGAAAGGCCGGGAGCAGTGGCTCACGCCTGTAATCCCAGCACTTTGGGAGGCCGAGGTGTGGATCACGAGGTCGGGAGATCGAGACCATCCTGGCTAACATGGTGAAACCCCGTCTCTACTAAAAATACAAAATTTTAGCCGGGCGTGGTGGCAGGCGCCTGTAGTCCCAGCTACTCCGGAGGCTGAGGCAGGAGAATGGCCTGAACCCGGGAGGCGGAGCTTGCAGTGAGCCGAGATCGCACCACTGCCCTCCAGCCTGGGCGGCAGAGCGAGACTCCGTCTCAAAAATAAAAATAAATAAATAAATAAATAGATAAAGAAAGAGAAAGGAGAACAGCTCTGTCTCTTGCAAGAGACAGGAGCCCCCGAATGGGAATTCTGGGCTGGAATGGGAGTGCACCGGATTTTATAGGCAGGCTGAAGGAGGCAGTGTCCGATTTACATAACCACAGATTGGTTATACCAGGTGTGATGTTTACATAGAGCATGGGGAAGGCTGGCCAATGCACCCTAATCTTATTATGCAAATGGACTTTCCACTTGGCCGGCGCCGTGTTGTCCGCTCCTTGCTGCACACGTGACTGGCAAAGAGAAGGGAACATGGAGCCACTGTTCTGAACATGCCTAGTCCCCGGTAGCCTTTTCCTATTGGCACAGCTGCTGGCATTCACCTGTGCAAGCTTCTAGCTTGCTTGTCTATGTCTGCAGCTCAATTTTACAGGCTGCTGTTTGTTAGAAAAGAAAATTATTTTGGGGCTGCCTTTTTTTTTTTTTTTTTTTTTTTTGAGATGGAGTTTTGCCCTTATTGCCTGGGCTGGAGTGCAGTGGTGCAATCTCGTCTCACTTCAACCTCAGCCTCCCGGGTTCAAGCGATTCTCCTACCTCAGCCTCCGGAGTAGCTGGGATTACAGGCATGTGCCACCAAGCCTGGCCAAGTTTTTGTATTTTTAGTAGAGACGGGTTTTCTCCACATTGGTCAGGCTGGTCTCAAACCCCCGACCTCAGATGATCCGCCCGCCTCGGCCTCCCAGAGTGCTGGGATTACAAGTGTGAGCCACCGCGCCCGGCAGGGCTGCTTTTCATTAAAAGGAAAACCTTACGGAGGACTTCCTTACCCCCATTATCTGCCTAAATAATTCCTTTTTAACTCCTGCATCAGTGGTGCACACCTGTGGTTCCAATTACTTGGGAGGCTGAGGTAGGAGGATTACTTGGGCCCAAGAGCTCATGGCTGCAGCTGAGACTCTGTCTCAAAAAAAAAAAAAAAACAAAAAAAAGAAGAAGAAGAAAAAAATAACATCTTTTTCTAGTCTTAAGTTGAGAAACCTCTAAGGTTGCTTCCCCTTGTTATCCTAAGTTAGTAACATTAAAACTACAGTTTTCAAACTGCTGATTTGAAGCATATCTTCCGTTTGCATAACCTAAGTTCTTCTACTTGCGGTATACTTTTCAGCAACAATTTTAGCATATGGCAACCACTTCTGTTCCATAAACGTAAAAATACTAGAGTCCTTGTCCTATCACTGAATGTGGGTGTGTCAGAGTGAATGATGACACCTGGGTGTTGAAATGAAACTCAAATAGTGTTGCCATTGACACCCAAAGAATACTAACACTTTTATTCCTTAATGGGAATCTGAGTAGAAAATAATGCCATTTTATTTGATAATGTTGAACTTAACCTGAAGGTTAGGAAATCCCTTCATCTTTTTGTGTTCTAAAAAAATAGCTACTCCCCCATATGAGTTAGATAAGACTCAGGGATGCCTACCTTGTTTAGCTATGACAGTGCCAGACACAGGCTGTCCAAATCTCCATTCCTCTCCTCACAAATAACTAGCTGAAATGTTTTGTCCTCACTGTATCAACAGAAACAAAAAGTGTTTATTTCAGCCTGGCCAACATGGTGAACCCCCCCGTCTCTCCTAAAAATACAAAAATTAGCCAGGCATGATGGCACGCCTGTAATCTCAGCTACTCTGGAGGCTGAGACAGGAGAATCACTTGAACCTGGGAGGTGGAGGCTGCAGTGAGCCAAGATTGTGCCACTGCACTCCAGCATGAGCAACATTGCAAGACTCCGGCTCAAAAAAAAAAAAAAAAAAAAAAAAGGTTTTTTAACCACACTTTGGTTAAGGTTCTTTTTTTCCTTCCCCCAGGACCCTGACCAGCAGAAAGCCACTCCTTAAAGGCACTCGCTGAGGATAGGAGGCCTTCAGGGTAAAGCATTATCTGACCTACTCTCCCATCAGTCCACCCTTTATCCCACCTTCCCATACCTGGTTCTTTCTAGCCTAGTTCTTTCTCTAAAAGAAAAACCCTTTTTGCCTAACTTTTGAAAACTTACCTGTCTTAAGGTCACATGTTTCTATTGCAATGCTGTTGGCCCTTTGTATCCGCGAGTTCTGCATTCGGGGATTGAACCAAACACGGATCAGAAATGTTTAAAAAATACAAAATAACAATGCAGCGATAAAAATAATGCAAATTTAAAAACCAAGCCCGGGTGCAGTGGCTCACATCTGTAATCCCAGCCCTTTGGGAGACTGAGGTGGGCAGATCACCTGAGGTCAGGAGTTTGAGACCAGCCTGGCCAACATGGTGAAACCCCGTCTCTAACTAAAAATACAAAAAAATTAGCTGGGTGTGGTGGCACGCCTGTAATCCCAGCTACTCAGGAGGCTGAGGCAGGAGAATCACTTGAACCCAGGAGGTGGAGGTTGCAGTGAGCCAAGACCATGCCACTGCCCTCCAGCCTGGGCAAAAAAGCAAGACTCCATCTCAAAAACAAATAAACAAGCAAACAAACAAAAAACTAACAGCTATTTTCATAGCATTTCCATTGTATTCGGCATTATAGTAAACGAGCAATGGTTTAAAGTACATGAGGATGTGTGTAAGTTATATGTGAATACTACACCATTTTATATCACAGACTTCAGCATCTGCAGCTTTTAGTGTGAAACCAACTTTTTCAAAACTATGACAGTAAGAGAAATCTGACATAGTCGACTCAATCTTGCTTCTGACACCAAGGTCGCCTCCTGGACATGGGCCAAGCTAACTTCGAGAAGAATTTGGTTTATACTTTAACTTGAAAGCAAGGACAGTAGTAATCCTTCCCCTAAAACTAACGCCCTCCTTGCTCAGGGACCAAAACCTACCTTTGTAAGACTAATGAAAGGCCACAAGAATAGGATCATGGGAGGGGCTTGAACTCTGCTATGCTTGAACTCTGCTAAAATGTAGGCGTAGTTTCCAACCCCCTGCTGCTCAGGAGTCACGTGGCCAGAGGTCACAAGATTTGTGACTTCCCCAATTGCTCCTATAGATAACATCACTACTGTAGAACCTCAGATTGGTTTTATTTTTAGATGTTTTTCAGACGGACCCCACCTGTACTTGTGACTCATGACTCAACTGCTCCTGTGGCCCTATCCAGAGGTGGACTCAGTGCATGAGGACAGTGTTCCTTACACCTATGATTTCATCCACAACAAGTCAGCAGCACCCATTCCCTAGCCCCCACTGCCCACCAAATTGTCCATAAAAACCACAGCCTCTGAGCCTTCTGAGAGACTGACTGATTTGAGTGGTAACTCCAGTTTTTTCCCATATGGGTCAGCCTTGTGTCAATTATATTCTTTCTCTACTGCACTGCTGCAGTCTCAGTGAATTGATTTTGTCTGTGCAGTGGGCGATTACAAGGTATGAGGGCAGTTGGGAGGGGGTACTGGAACCAATCCCCCATGGATACTGAGGGAGGACTGCAGCAGTCCTCTCCCCACCATAATAATTCTGTTGGATTTGGTTTTTAGTTGGCATAGTCTATCTTTGTATGTAGAATTCTAAAAATTGATTTTATATTATTTTATTCTAACAGGAGATATTTTCTGAATACCCTACCTCTGCCTCTCCTATCCCTTGCCACTCCTCTTGTTCAGGACCTTAATAACCTCATCTTTCCCCATTACATTACTATCTAGATTCCTCAGCTCCCATCTTAGTTAATTTCTCCTTCCTTCCTCCCTTCCTCCCTCCCTCCTTCCTTCCTTCCTTCCTCTCTCTTTCTTTCTTTCTCTCTTTTTCTTTCTCTCTCTCTTCTCTCTCCTCTCTCTCTTCTCTTTCTTTCTTTTTTTTTCTTGTTGCTCAGGCTACAGTGCAATGGTGCGATCTCGGCTCACTGCAACCTTCACCTACTGAGTTCAAGCAATTCTCCTGCCTCAGCCTCCCAAGTAGCTGAGATTACAGACGTCTGCCACCACGCCTGGCTAATTTTTGTATTTTTAGTAGAGATGGGGTTTCACCATATTGGCCAGGCTGGTCTGGAACTCCTAACCTCAGGTGATCCTCCCTCCTCGGCCTCCCAAAGTGTTGGGATTACAGGGGTGAGCCACCGCACCTGGCCTAATTTTTCTTATTACTAGCAAATTAGTCTTCCTAAAGATTACTATTCCAATCCCAGCATTCTTTTGTCCTCTTTTTGTTCCTTTTTGTAGCTCTCTGTTGCCAAAGAATAAAGTACAATTTTGTAGCATCGATTTTAAATTTTTCCACAGTGAGGTTTAACCTCATCTCTTCATTCTCTAATGAACACTTTCAGCTGTTTTAAAAACCTACAAACCTACCTAGCTATTTCTAGTCTCACCATTGTTACCCTAATTAACAGAGGCTCTCTAAACAAAAATTATATTTATTTGGGAATAGGACATTGCAATGTGCCATAGTAAATGATGCATATTCAAGGAGGTAAAGGAAGACAAACTTTTTGTTTGTTTGTTTGTTTTGTTTTGTTTTTAACACAGCTGTGCTTGGAAAAGGTTTTTGTTCTTAATTTTTTAAATTTATTTTATTTTGAGATGGGGTGCCACTCTGTCACCCAGGCTGGAGCGTAGTGGTGTGATCTCGCCTCCCTGCAACCTCTGCCTCCTGAGCTCAAGCAATTCTCCCATCTCAGCCTCTTGAGTAACTGAGACCACAGATGCTCACCACCATGTCTGGCTAATTTTTTTGTATTTTGGTAGAGATGGGGTTTCACCATGTTGCCCAGACTGGTCTCGAACTCCTGAGCTCAAGCCATCCATTTGCCTCGGCTCCGCAAAATGCTGGGATTACAGGCATGAGCCATCATGCCTGGCTGTTTTGTTTTGATTTATTTTATTTTGAGACAGAGTCTCACTCTGTCGCCCAGGCTGGAGTGCAATGGCATAATCTCAGCTCACTGCAACCTCTGTCTCCTGGGTTCAAGTGATTCTCCTGCCTCAGCCTCTTAAGTAGCTGGGATCACAGGCATGTGCCACTATACCCGGCTAATTTTTGTATTTTTAGTAGAGATGGGGTTTTGCCCTGTTGGCCAGGCTAAGCCACCGCGCCTGGCCTGTTTTGTTTTTTAAGACAAGTGATCCCATAATGATTCTAACGACTTCAACACTATGTTCGCTCATTCTCCTTTTCTGTGTCTTGAATGGTTTGCTTCCAAAATTTCCCCCTCTGGGCCAGGCACCGTAGCTCATGCCTTTAATCCCAGCACTTTGGGAGGTGGAGGCGGGTAGTTTGCTTGAGATCAGGAGTTCGAGACCAGCCTGGCCAACATGGTGAAACCCCGTTTCTACTGAAATACAAAAATTAGCTGGGCTTGGTGGTGAGTGCCTGTAATCTCAGCTAACAGGGAGGCTGAGGCAAGATAATTGCTTGAACCCAGGAGGCGAAGGTTGCAGTGAGCCGAGATCGTGCCACTGCATTCCAGCCTCGGCGACAGAGTGAGACTCTGTCTCAAAAAACAACAACAACAATAAAAACACCCCAAATTTACCCCTTTGAATTTCTATTCAACACAAATGCTATTTCTTCCCTGTTTGGGAAATAATCTCTTTGATTATTCTATTATTATTCTGATACTGTGGCTGTACTTCCATTAAAGCTTTTTTCTTTCTCTCTCTCTTTTTTTTTTTTTTCTTTTTTTGAGACAGGGTCTCACTATGTTGTTCAGGCTGGTCTCAAACTCCTGGGCTCAAGCGATCCTCCCACCTCAGCCTCCCAAAATGCTGGAATTACAGGCATGAGCCACTGCACCTGGCCCATTCCCTTAAAGTTTTAACACAATTGTTTTTCATTACAGTATGCCGTATGTATTTTTAATCTGCCCTTCTGATTATGAGCTTCTTGAGGGCAAGACAGTGTCTTATTCCTCTCTGTGTCTTCTCTAGCCCTTACCCTAACACCTTGCATTTGGTAAGCATTCAATATTTGTTCTTTTTTTTTTTTTTTTTTTTTTTGAGACGGAGTCTCTCTGTCACCCAGGCTGGAGTGCAGTGGTGCAATCTCGGCTCACTGCAAGCTCTGCCTCCCCGGTTCACGCCATTCTCCTGCCTCAGCCTCCCAAGTAGCTGGGACTATAGGCACCCGCCACCATGCCCGGCTAATTTTTTTTGTATTTTTAGTAGAGATGGGGTTTCACCGTGTTAGCCAGGATGGTCTTGATCTCTTGACCTTGTGATCCGCCCTCCTCAGCCTCCCAAAGTGCTGGGATTACAGGTGTGAGTCACCACGCCCGGCCAATATTTGTTCTTTTCATTAAAATGAATGGAAAACAATTTCCTTTTTGGCCTCACATAACATTTTGTGTAACATATGTCATATGTTTATTATATCTAAACTAAATATAATGTGATAGTTCAGGACTCAGAAGTCAGTTGAATGTTGTTTGCTGTAAGGCAGAAGATGGAATTTCCTAAAATAATGGTTACAAGTGAATAGAAAATATCGAACAGGTACTCTTAAGAGTTCTCGGGAGTTGGCCAAGCTTGGTGACTCATGCCTGCAATCCCAGCACTTTGGGAGGCCAAGGTGGGTGTATCACTTGAACCCAAGGGTTTGAGACCAGCCTGGGCAGCATAGTGAGACCCTGTCTATTTTTATAAAATTATAAGGGCCAGGCGTGGTGGCTTACGCCTATAATCCCAGCACTTTGGGAGGCCAAGGCGGGTGTATCACTTGAACCCAAGGGTTTGAGACCAGCCTGGGCAGCATAGTGAGACCCTGTCTATTTTTATAAAATTATAAGGGCGAGGCGTGGTGGCTCACGCCTATAATCCCAGCACTTTGGGAGGCCAAGGCGGGTGGACCACGAGGTCAAGAGATTGAGACCATCCTGCCTAACATGGTAAAACCCTGTCTCTACTAAAAATACAAAAAAGTAGCCAGGCGTGATGGGGTGTGCCTGTAGTCCCAGCTACTCAGGAGGCTGAGGCAGGAGAATCCCTTGAACCCGGAAGGCGGAGGAGGCAGTGAGCTGAGATCGTGCCACTGCACTCCAGCCTGGGTGACAGAGCGAGACTCCATCTCAAAAAAAAAAAAAAAAGAAAGAAATACATAATATAATTTAACAATATAAATATAAAATATATATAAATTATAAGTTATAAATATAAAATATATATATTTTTTAAAGAAAGAGTTCTTGGGAGTCAACACAGCATACTACATATGAGTGTGGACTCTAGTTTCTGAGTTCTGGCTCTACTAGCTACTAGATGACCTTGAATATATTCTTTAATGTTTCTGTACCTCAAATTTTCATATGTGGGATGAGGATAGAAAGAAAATCTACCACATAGTTGTGAGGATTAAGTTGGTTACTCTCTGCAAGGCACATCAGATAGTACATGTCACATAAATACCAATAAAGTTACCTTCATTATTAAAATTGGCTATCCAAAAAGAGAAAGCTTCACTTTCTTGTTGTTTTCTAGCGATCATTTAAGTGAAATAATTCCAAAGAATTGATTATCAAACAGCTACTGAACATACTGGTTTGACCAGAACCTGTGGCATCTCTAGGATCATCAGATCTCCTCAAAGATTCATATAAGGACCAGAGAAGAGCTGTCCTGGGAAAGAGCAGTGTCAAATAATCAGGTTCAAACAAGTTTTAATCATCCTTCAGGCTTCAATATCTTTGCAGGGGAGTTGTATGAGAATGGACTTCTAAAGTTTATTCACTGATGTTTATTCAATAAACATTTCTGGGCCGGGCGTGGTGGCTCATGCCTGTAATCCCAGCACTTTGGGAGGCCGAGGCAGGCGGAACATCTGAGGTCGGGAGTTCGAGATCAGCCTGACCAACATGGAGAAACCCTGTCTCTACTAAAAATACAAAATTAGCCAGGTGTGGTAGTGCATGCCTGTACTCCCAGCTACTTGGGAGGGTGAGGCAGGAGAATCTCTTGAACCCGGGAGGCGGAGGTTGCGGTAAGCCGAGATGGCGCCATTGCACTCCAGCCTGGGCAACAAGAGTGAAACTCCATCTCAAAACAAACAAACAACAAAAACAAAAATTTCTGGGTCAGAAATATAGAAATCAAGGACACAGTTCCTGTCTTCGACTAACTCATGAACTAATATAGAAGACAGTCTTGAAGGACTCACCCAGGTGAGAAATGGAAGGAAGCGAGTTCAAGACAGAGAAATCGCAGCCATAAAAAAGAATGAAATAATGTCCTTTGAGGCAACACGGATGCAGCTGGAGGCCATTACCTAAGCAAATTAACACAGAAAAACACAAATACTGCATGTTCTCACTTATAAGTAGGAGCTAAACTTTGAGTACACATGGACATAAAGATGGAAACAACAGACACTGGGGACCCCAAAAGGTGAAGAGGAAGGGCTGAAAACTAATGAGTACTATGCTCACTACCTGGGTGATGGGATCAGTTGTACCCCAAATCTCAGCATCATGCAGTATAGTATACCCATGTAGCAAATCTGAACATCTACCCTCCAAATTATACATATGTGTGTGTGTGTGTGTATGTGTGTATACACACACACACACACACACACACGTATATATATACAGAGAAATAGTCTGAACACACAGAGCATGGAATATTCAGGGAACTTCATTTCAGAATAATTGAACATCGGGTGAGAATAACTGGATACAGCACAGTGGTAAGAAAGGCAGGTGGGAGCAGGATGATGAAGACCTCACATGTGAGGCCTCGTTATCACCTGGCTTCCCTCAGCTTGCATACCTCATGGCTTTGGTCAGGAAAACAAAAAGTACAAAAATACAGGTGAAAGCCAGGCACTGTTGTGTGCACCTGTCACCCAGCTGCTCAGGAGGCCTAGGCAGAAGGATTGCTTGGGTCCAGGAGTTTGAGGCTTCAGTGCCCTGTGATTGGCCTATGAATAGCCACTACACTCTGGCCTTGGCAACAAGGCAAAACCCTGTATATACATATTTAAAAGTGAGGTGGGTAGCCAAACAGCCTCTGTGAAATCAATGTTCTTTGTAAATTAGACCCCAAGTACCTGCTGTTCCTCAGGTATCTTGAGAAACCTAAATTTAGTCCTTCATGAAAGCCAAAAAAAATCAGAATTTCATCTTTAAGGCGAGGGGAAACATGGAAGGGTATTAAGCAGGGTAGAACTGTGAGCAAGTTTGCTTTTCAGAAAGCAGTTTTGAAAGCAGTGTGGAAAAGATATTTGAGGGGTGGCAAACAGAGGCAGAGGTATGCAGAAGAGAACGCATTCTGTCTGGAGATGTTGAGCTTGAGGTAGTGGTGGACATTTGAATGGTTAAGATGTTAAGATCACAGTAAGACATCAGATTCAGTACTTCAAATACAGTTTCCAAGGTATATTCTGTTCTTAGCATACTCTCAGTCCAATTTCCTACAACTACTATGATTATATGTGTGTGGTTGTTAATTCACATTATAGTCTAAGAAGTTTTAACATAGATAATGTCATTTTAGCCTTTTTCCATAATCCTACAAGGCAGAGAGGACAATTATTCTTCCTATTTTGCAGTGAAGAGTTATATAATACCTCTGAGACTGTACATGATTTATTTGCCTAAGATCATAGAGGAATGGGGTGCAGTGGCATGCTCTCAGCTCACTGCAACCTCTGTCTCCTGGGTTCAAGTGATTCTCCTGCCTCAGCCTCAGTAGCTGGGATTACAGGTGTGAGCCACCATGTCTGGCTACAAACCTAGCTTTTCTGATTCAAGATAGTGTTTGTATATAGTACATACCAGTGTACTATATACACTTGTAGTATAACCCATCAGTGTCTGTTTTGCTCCCAGCACTATGTTAGTAAAAACTTTTTAAAAATTAGAACATCAGGTCGGGCCCTTGCCTCTGAGACATAGCAGTATTGGCCGGGCACCATGGCTCACACCTGTAATCCCAGTACTTTGGGAGGCTAAGGCCAGTGGATCACCTGAGACAGGAGTTTGAGACCAGCCTAGGCAACATGGTGAAACCCTGTCTCTACCAAAAAACACAAAAAATCAGCTAGGAATGGTGGCAGGTGCCTGTGGTCTCAGCTATTTGGGAGGGTGAGGTGGGAGGATCCCTTGAACCTGGGAGGTGGAGGTTGCAATGGACCGAGATAGCACCACTGCACTCCAGCCTGGGTGACAGAGTGAGAGAGACCCCGTCACACACACACACACACACACACACACACACACACACACACACACACAGAGCAGTATAGTTTTTTGACAACACTGTACACTGACAATCAGATCTGGCTTCTGGTTCTAATTCTGCCTCTAACCACTTGTGTGATTACATTTTATTAGAAAATAACAGAAACTCAGCCGGGCACTGTGGCTCACGCCTGTAATCCCAGCACTTTGGGAGGCCAAGGTGGGCCGATCACCCGAGGTCGGGAGTTCGAGACTAGTCTGACCAACATGGAGAAACCCCGTCTCTACTAAAAATACAAAATTAGCTGGGCATGGTGGCACATGCCTGTAATCCCAGCTACTCCGGAGGCTGAGGCAGGAGAATTGCTTGAGCCCTGGAGGCAGAGGTTGTGGTGAGCCGAGATCACGCCTTTGTACTCCAGTCTGGGTGACAGACTGAGACTCCATCTCAAAAAAAAAAAAAAGAAAATAACAGAAACTCAACTCAAACAAATCTAAATTGAGAGGGGGATTTATTGGCTCATGAAATCCAAGGAAGGATTGAACAAGCAGGTGTCAAAAATGGCAGGGCTGCTGGCACGGCAGCTCACGCCTGTAATCCCAGCACTTTGGGAGGCCGAGGCGGGCGGATCACCTGAGGTCAGGAGTTCAAGACCAGCCTGGCCAACATGGAGAAACCCCATCTCTACTAAAAACACAAAAATTAGCCAGGCGAGGTGTTGGGCACCTGTAATCCCAGCTACTGGGGAGGCTGAGGCAGGAGAATCACTTGAACCCATGAGATGGAGGTTGCAGTGAGCCGAGATCACAACACTGCACTCCAGCCTGGGCAACAGAGTCAGACTCCATCTCAAAAAGGCACGGCTAGCCTGGGCATGGTGGCTCACGTCTGTCATTCCAGCACCTGAGGAGGCTGAGGTGGGAAGGCTGTAATTCCAGCACTTGCCCAGGAGTTTGAGACCAGCTTGGGCAATATGATGAAACCCTGTCTCCATGAAAAATACAAAACTTAGCTGGGTATGATGGTGTGTGCCTAATGGGAGGATCCATTGAGCCTGGAAGGTTGATGCTACAGTGAGCCATGATCAAGCCACTGCACCCCAGCCTGGGTGACAGAGTGAGACCTTGTCTCAAAAACAAAACAAAACAAAACAAAACAAAAAACAAACAAACAAAAGGCAGGGCTGCAGAGGTGAAACAAGGGGCCCAAACCTTGTTAGGAGTCTTTCCAAGTCTTGTTTCTGTTGTTTTCGGTATGGCAGTTTCACTTTCTCTCATCACTAACCAGCTTTCTCTAAAGGTAGGACATATGTCTGCTGTGTTTCTAAGTTTAGATTTAAAAGGTTTAACCATTGGAGAGAAACCACCTCAATCTCTCACTGTCTGAAAGTACAAAAATCTCAGGGAACCCACTCCCTGGCCCAGCAGAGGGTGGGAACCCAATCTGTGGTTACCAGAGGAATGCATTCCAGAGAGTTCTAGCAAGATCATCACAGGTGCCAATTTTCTTCAGTATTATATGAAAAATATAAATCTTAAATACGGGGGATGATAAAGTTAGGTAGGATAGAAAGCCATTATTCCAGGTAGAGGAAAGGCGCCTTGAGTTAGTGATGTTGTTAGTCTATGAATGAAAAGACAAGTCTGACTGGAGGACAAGGCTGGGTCCTTGTTCCCATAGGAAATAAGCATGAATTGCTAGGGTAGGAAGTGATTATGATGGACCAAAAAGCTAAACATAGAATTTGTTCTACTTGAAGCAGCCATTATAGGTTTCTTGTACAGATTCAACTATGACTTCTGAAATCTCACTTTATAACAAAGAAATCTTGAATCACTTCCTAGAATACTCCTTCCTTTTCTTAATTGAACTTAGGTTAGGGTAGCAGTAGGAATGAAGAATGGGTGAGAGAATTCAGAGAAGGAAAGCTAAAAACACAACACCCAATCTAATCTGGAACCTAGAAGAAGGATAGCACTCTCAAAGACTATTTGACACAAGCATCTTGAAAGCAGGAGCTATGTCTTATTAACATTGCATCTCCAAGAACGTAGCACAGTCAGCAAATACCACATAATAAACTGAGTGACTCTCATAAAATGAGGAAATTAAGAAGATGGCCTCTAAGCCCCTTCCAGCTCCACAAATCTTTGAGTCTATTTCTCATCTTGATCTTAAAAGTCATGAAAGTCCTCAAATATCTACACACAAAAATGATAGGTTGTTAAAAAGGTTAAGATGGGTCGTGTTTGGTGGCTCACGCCTGTAATCCCACCACTTTGGGAGGCAGAGGCTGGTGGATGGCTTGAGCTCAGGAGTTGGAGACCAGCCTGGGTAACATGGTGAAACGCTGTCTCTATAAAAATAAATAAATAAATAAATACACAAATAAAACAAAAAATATGCAAAAGGGCTGCAAATTCTAGTATACTTATGAAAATAGGTATTCAAAAATATATTAAACACATTTTATAAATGATTTTCACCAAGGACTAAAGTGTATTAAAAGTTTACATTCTTCAGGAAATTTAATTAACTAGAATATTCCATTCTCTTTTTTGCAGGGTGGCCAGGGGAGCTTTCTGGTAAGCACCGTAAAGTCTGATGGGCAAATTCTAAAAGAGTTGTAGCACTTAGAATATTCCATTCTGATTGAGAATTTACACTAGTATATTCATTACTATAAACATCAAAATATTAGGGGCAAGTCAACACTTACCAAGATGTCTAAATGGTGAATGTGCAGATGGGATTGGAGATTTCAAGACCTGAGAACTTAAAAAAAAAATATTTCGAACCAGTACGACATCTATATTTCCAATCATTGTTGGGGGGAAAAAGGCATCAATCAGATTTTTTTCACTGTTATAATAACTTTAATTTATCTTGCATTTTACAGAAGTCTATGAACAATTTTAAAAAAGCACCTCCTTATCCCATAGCACGTTTCTCTGATAGTTGTTAAAGTAGGCAAGGAGTATGTCAACAGCTTCAGCATCAGCGTCTTGCAAGGATTTCAGACCAACCAACCACTCTCCAAACAACTTGGCAGCTTTTTTATCTTGTTTTTAATACAATGGTATATCCACTCTAATGGCAAACCTGTCCAGCCACATCTCCACAACATGCTTTGCAAAGTCAGTGATTAGCAAATTAGTTAGCTTTGGCACGGAGCTGTGCTCGCTTGCCAGTGACAACCTGGAAGCGGGTTTTGATACTGGCAACAGAACATCTAGAATGACAAGTTTTGCACTGTAGGAAATAGAGTCGTGTGTCCTTCTGTAGGATTGTGTCTGGTGATTGACATGTGTGACAAGTGACATATTCCTTGATATATCTTCTCAAGACATTTTCTCTATTTCTGTTGGAATCTTTTTTTGATTACAAGTTGATTATTACCATCTATAGAACCACTTGTACCCAATTCAGCCAACGAAAATGCAAGATGTTTGGGCTGACGATGTAATAGTTAATAGGTATCTGTAAAGTTGACAAAAGAAGTTTTCTGCTGAGCATGGTGGCTCACGTCTGTAATCCCAGCACTTTGGGAGGCCGAGGCGGGCAGATCACGAGGTCAGGAGATCAAGACCATCCTGGCTAACACGATGAAACCCCGTCTCTGCTAAAAATACAAAAAATTAGCCGGGGGTAGTGGCGGGTGCCTGTAGTCCCAGCTACTCGGGAGGCTGAGGCAGGAGAATGGTGTGAACCCGGGAGGCGGAGCTTGCAGTGAGCCGAGATCGCGCCACTGCACTCCTGCCTGGGCGGCAGAGCCAGACTCCGTCTCAAAAAAATAAGGAAGTTTTCTTGGTTCCTACTTGTACGACCTGTGGAGGTTTCATGACAAATTTCCTTTTCTCCCCAGCAACCATATCTAGATTCTTTTCCGTCATGATGTTGAACACTCGATTCATTAGCTCCTTATATGTGTAGTCTCTTTCTGAGCCTGCCCAAGCAGGGCCTGATTACTGAATGAGACACCATCATGATTTTTTCTGTCTTCATCTTCTAGAGCTTCATCTTTCTCTAGTATTTCATCCTCATCTGAGAACTTGATCCTCTTTTTCTACTTTTTATTGCCAAGCATAATGTCAAGGTCATCCTCTGGTTCAGCTGATTCTCGAACATTACTTTCAATCTGAAGATCCTTTACACCTTCTTCAGCTTCATCAATATCAAATATCTTTTCAGTTTTTTTCTTTTTTCTTTTGATTAAAGAAGTTCAAGTCATCTCGATCATCAGGAGCATATTTTTTCCTGCTGTCCTCTTCTTCAGCTTCCAAGTCTTTGTCCTCAGTTGGCTCTGGCTCCACTTCTTTTGTTTCTGAAGGCTGAGTTTCCTCTGTTTGGGTATCCCCTTCCTCACCTAACATAAAAGACTTCTTCTCCTTTTTCTTCTGTCTCCCGAGTAGCTGGGATTACAGGCATGTGGCACCACGTCCGGCTAATTTTGTATTTTTAGTAGAGACGGGGGTTTCTCCATGTTAGGCTGGTCTTGAACTCCCGATCTCAGGTGATCCGCCCACCTCGGCCTCCCAAAGTGCTGGAATTACAAGTGTGAGCTGCCATGCCCAGCCCAATCAGATTTTAAGAGCAAGAAAAGTAGGACTGAGAAGAGAATTGTTAACAAAGAAAGAGGAAAAAAGTCTTAGGGAGTAATTTAAAAAAAATATTACAGAGTTCGGGGAAAGGAAAACTGAGTATAAATGGTCTCTACGATAAGGAAGAATTCCACGGTCAGCTCAGCCTATGTGGGCTAGAAATAAAGTGGGTGATGGGCCATTTATTATCATTCATTTATTTTGTTCTAATTTTGCTTTTTGCCTGGGATACTTTTAGACAATTTCTGTGTAAGTTTCCCTTAGAATTTTACCTTGGGAGAAGGTGATTCAAACGTTGAGGCATAAAAACCTTAGAAGGCAGAAAACTCGTTAACCATTAATGATAAAATTTTATTAATATACATCACACATTTTATTTACATTTGTGCTATCACAGAGATTTTTGAGAATTCAGAAGAAATCCTATTTTTGAGAAATACAATAAAACTAATCAAAGATGCAGGATAAAATCATTAGGTGTATATATAAAGAATTTAATTAACATAGGTTTAATTTTTCAAAAATAACATACTCATAATGAATATTTATTGATGCCCATAATGTACTGTTACTGATATCAACATATCACAAATATTCTAGTAATAGCCGAGTACCATGGCTTGCACCTGTAATCCCAGCTACTTGGGAGGGTGAGGCAGGAGGATTGCTTGAGGCCAGGAGTTCAAGACCAGCCTGGGCAACATAGTGAGACCTGGTCCCTAAAAAAATAAAAATAAAAAAATTCTATAATGGGCCGGGCACGGTAGCTCATGCCTGTAATCCCAACACTTTGGGAGGCCAAGGTGGGTGGATCATGAGGTCAGGAGATCGAGACCATTCTGGCCAACACAGTGAAACCCCATCTGTACTAAAAATACAAAAATTAGCTGGGTGTGATGGCGCATGCCTGTAATCCCAGCTACTTGGGAAGCTGAGGCAGGAGAATCGGTTGAACCCAGGAGGTGGAGATTGCAGTGAGCCAAGATTGCACCACTGCACTCCAACCTGGTGACAGAGCAAGACTCTGTCTCAAAGAAAAAAAAATTCTATAATGTTAACAATTTATGGCAAATAGTTTGCAATATATATACATTTTATCATTTAACAATAAAAAATTAAACTAGGTTCCAGATAGGCAAAAGAAAACAAGTTAATGGCAATAAATATTCAGTTTAAAATGAATATTATAATTTTAAGTAAAATAGTTGTGAACGTAAATTACTTAGAATGTATATTTCTAAAGATAAAGTTCTTTGACCTCATTGTAAAAGTAGCTGAATCAGTGATTTATCTCAATCCAATATAATAAAGTACAAACTTAATTTGCCTATGGAAGGTAAAATGTCCAAGGCTAAGACTGCATATTGTTTCCTTACTACTTTTATGAAAGTTCCATTAGAAATGACAGCAACATTTTACCTTTATAGAATATCTGTGTCAAAAAAATATTTTAGTAATGTATAAAATTAAACTCAGGGCTGGGCCAGGTGGCTCACACCTAAAATCCCAGTACTTTGGGAGGCCAAGGTGGGTGGATCATGAGGTCAGGAGTTCAAGACCAGCCTGGCCAACATGGTGAAACCCCGTCTCTGCTAAAAATACAAAAATTAGCCAGGCGTGGTGGCACATGCCTGTAATCCCAGCTACTCGGGAGGCTGAGGCAGGAGAATTGCTTGAACCCAGGAGGTAGAGGTTGCAGTGAGCCGAGATCACGCCACTGCACTCCAGCCTGGGCGAAAGAGCAAGACTCCATCTCAAATAAAAATAAAAATAAAAATAAAGTCAAGTACAGAGAAGGATATAAGAAAATCAACATGTTAATTATGAAGCATGGATATGATACAGTTCTCATATCACACGATATCTTTATTTGGCTTTGCAGGAAAGACACTGAATCATACCCAGGTAGTATATCCCTACTTGGCAGCAATATTTTTTCTTCAAAAAAATGTTTATTCACATTCTGAGAGAATGCAGAAAATAAACAAAAATTTAAAAAATTAAAATTGTATGCTTTGTGATAAAAATACTTGCCATAGAATGTTTATATTTGAATCTTTTAATATAGTTAAATTTTTTTGTTTTCTTTTTACTTTTTTCTTTTTCTTAGAGGCAGGGTCTCACCACATTGCCCAGGCTGGTCTTGACCTCCTGGCCTCAAGCAATCCTCCTGCCTTGGCCTCCCAAAATTTTGGGATTACAGGCATGACCCACTGTGCCTGGCCTATAGTTAAATTTCTATTAAATTTTAAGATATTCTATTAGGAAAATTTCAGAGGGAATGTGGGTAGAAACCACCAAAACTACTATTCTTTATACCATGGCTCTTTGGTATGTAGGTAAGACCTTGTCCCTCTCATTAACAATGATTTATTGCACCAGTGTCAGCTCCTTCAAGTTTTGTCAGCTTGTATTATTTTTCCTGTTTAGTGCAGTTATAGGTCAAATTTCCATTTCTCCATCACCTTTGTTCCCATTACTGTTAAAGGGGATATTGCATTCTGACAAAATATACCAGCGCTAAAGGACTCATAATGCAGCCATGGGATCTAATGATCACCTCTACTTTGTTTTACATACTTTCCTCTTCCTCTGCCATCTCTGGGATAAACAGACCCTAGACCAGGAAATTCCTCAGATGAATCTGAATAATTCCCTTGTAATCAAATTATTTTGACAGAAAAGCACATACACAATCCCTCAGCCTGATGCTGTTCTCCCCTTCTCTCTATAAACCAAGATGCTCCTTGTCTTCAAATGCCAACGAATCATCTGTTTCACAGAACCATTCATAGAGAATCCAATGCCACCTCTCTGCTTACTCCACAGAGTGATTACTTTATGTCTCATTTTTCCAGAGCTGTTTAGTATACCTGGCTTTACACCTTCTTTGAATATATTTGTATCTTTTTCTCATGTTTTCTCTCCTTCACTACATTGCTAATGCTTCAATATTAGATACAAGGGTTGGCCAGGCTCGGTGGCTCATGCCTGTAATCCCAGCACTTTGGGAGGCCAAGGCAGGCGGATCACGAGGTCAAGAGATTGAGACCATCCTGGCTAACACAGTGAAACCCTGTCTGTACTAAAAATACAAAAAATTAGCTGGGTGTGGTGGCAGGCATCTGTAGTCCCAGCTACTCAGGAGGCTGAGGCAGGAGAATCGCTTGAACCCAGGAGGCAGAGGTTGCAGTGAGCTGAGATCACACCACCATGCTCCAGCCTGGTGACAGAGCAAGGCTCCGTCTCAAAAAAGAAAAAAAAAAAAAGAAATTAGACACAAGTTTGTTCTAACCAGGAACAGACTAATATTTGCCTGCAGTCCTATGAATTCAAATGAAACATTTTAATTTTTTCCTAGTTCCAAAATTTCATTCAAATCTATCCCCCGCTTCCAATCCCCCAGAACCAAGGTCCTAGTTCAGGCTGTCATTGTTTCTCACCTGATGACTGCAATAATCTTCTAATTATTTACCTAGCCTTCACTCTCTGACCTCTGACAATCGTCTTTGATTTCTTTCCCAGTTATCTTTCTAAAACACAGTTCTGATGGTGTCACTCCCTAGCCTAAAAGCCTTCCATGGCTCCCACTGCCTACAAAATTAAATCCCTTTGGTATTCAAGGATTTACAACCTAATCCTATCCTCCCTTTGTAATCCCATTTCCAATCACCCTTGCTACTCTATGCTATATGCTATTGTTTTTTGGTTTTTTTTTTCATTTTTTAATTTTTACTGTTTGAGACAAGGTCTTACTCTGCTGCTCAGGCTGGAGTGCAGTGGTACAATCGTAGCACCCCGTAACCTCTAACTCCTGGGCTCAAGCAATCCTCCCACCTCAGCCTTAAAAGTAGCTAGGGCTACAGGCATGTGCCATCACACTCAGCTAATTTTTTTATTTTTCTTTATTTTTAGTCTGAGTCTAGCTCTATTGCCCAGGCTGGAGTGCAGAGGCACAATGTTGGCTCACTGCAACTGCCACCTCCCAGGTTCAAGCCATTCTCCTGCCTCAGCCTCCCGTGTAGCTGGGATTACAGGCACCTGCCACCATGCCTGGCTAATTTTTGTATTTTCAGTAGAGATGGGGTTTCACCATGTTGGCCAGGCTGGTCTCAAACTCCTGACCTCAAGTGATCCACCAGCCTTGGCCTCCCAAAGTGCTGGGATTACAGGCATGAGCCACTGCACCAGCCCCCCACCTAATTTTTTAGAAAATATTTTTGTAGAGTCAGGGTCTTGCCATGTTGCCTAGGCTGGTGTCAAACTACTGACCTCAAGTGATCCTCCCACCTCAGCTTCCCAAAGTGCTGGGATCAAAGGAGTGAGCCACTGCACCTGGTCTCTATGGACTATTGTTTACCAAATACATTTTTGCATATCCCTATCTTCCTTCACTTTCTCTTCCTAAAATGGGCTTCTTCACCTATTCATATTTTGCTCTGTAAAACAATCCAGCTCTACAGGATCACCTCCTAACACCTTTCTTCCTGTTCCTAGTCAAACTTGTCCTCCTTTCTGAGGCATGCTGTTTATGTCTGTTTTACACTTGCCATCTTCTCTATACTCTAGAAGTAGTCCTGTCTTTCTTTATCTCCCCTAAACTGTGAACAACTTGAGAGCATGGGTGATGATTTATTCCTCTTTCTATGGCCACAGCCTAGCAAGTGGAGTGGGAGGAGGAGAGTACCTGTCCCTGCGAAATGAAATTTTTTTTTTTTTTTTTTTTTTAAGATAGGGTCTTACTCTGTTACCCAGGCTGGAATTGCAATGGCACAATCAGGGCTCACCGCAGCCTTGACCTCCCGGGCTTAAATAATCCTCCCGCCTCAGTCCCCCAGTTATCTGGGACTACAGGTGTGGGCCACCATGCCCGGTTAATTTTCTTTTTTTTTTTTTGAGACAGAGTTTCACTCTTGTTGCCCAGGCTGGAGTGCAATGGCGCGATCTCGGCTCACCGCAACCTCTGCCTCCCTGGTTCAAGCAATTCTCCTGCCTCAGCCTCCGAGTAGCTGGGATTACAGGCATGCACCACCCCGCCCGGCTAATTTTGTATTTTTAGTGGAGACGGGGTTTCTCCATGTGGGTCAGGCCGGTCTTGAACTCCCGACCTCAGGTGATCCGCCCGCCTTGGCCTCCCAAAGTGTTGGGGTTACAGGCGTGAGCCACTGTGCCCAGCCCTGCCCGGCTAATTTTGTTCATTTTTTGTAGAGGTGGGATCTCCCTATGTTGCCCAGGCTGTTGTCAAACTCCTGGACTCAAGCCATCCTCCCTCCTCGACCTCCCAAAGTGCTGAGATTATAGGCATGAACTACCACGCCTGAAGGAAAGTATTTCTACTGTTTTAAGGGCATGGGACAATTTCAAGCCTGTTTCTTGGAAGTAGTTCACATTCTTTAATTACAGACATTCACCTGATCATGGCGGGTGTGGTGGCTCACGCCTGTAAACACAGCACTTTGAGAGGCCAAGGCAGGAGAATCACTTCAGCCCAGGAGTTGGAGACCAGCCTGGGCAATATAGCGAGACCCTGTCTCATCTCTCTCTCTCTAGGTATATATAAAAGACATTCACCTGACCTGAGGAGTTCAGAGACCTTATAAACTGCTCTAGCTAGAAGTCAAGTTGGTAACTTGTGAGACACGGAAGTTAAGCGTCTAAATTAACGTTACCAAACTCAAAAATCTATACACTGCATTCATTCTCTACATTTATTCTGTGCAAGCCCTCTAGGTATTAGAATCTAGGAAAAGGAAATTTTACACTTAAGAACACCTGTGCTCCCTTAACATATACCAAAATATTTGATAAATGACACAGTATTTTGAATTTGTAGGTGGCTGGCTTTTCTTTTGCAGACCACACCTGTTAATATCACCTGGCCCTGTCTTGGGATCTACATGTAGTCTTGTCACCACTGGTCAATTGGCACATGGTTTTCCGAACATCAGTCGCCTGGGACAGCTCTGTAATTACTTGTTAATTACTTGAGTCGAATGATTCCGAACTCATGGTAGTTGCTTCGCCTTCATTGATCATTCACCATTTGGTTCTGTGCCAGCAGGATGCCCGGCTGCTTGGTCACAGGCATTGCGCAAGCTGGCACCGGGATCGTGGCCTCTTTAAGTCAACTTCTGGCTGAGGGAATCCGGCGACACTAGCCCGCGGAGAAGAAGGGCTGAAGGTGGAGCAGGGGGACACGCCGCGTCCCACCAGACGTACGCCGCGACGCCTGCTGGTGGATATTACCCGGGACCTCAAAGCGGCCGCCCGCCGATCCTCAGCGCCAAGCCACGGCCGGATGCGCTCAGGGCGGACCCGCGCGGCCCGGCCCCTCAGGGAGCCCGGGTGGGGGCGGGGCTGGGCGGGGCGGGGCGCGGCGCGCGCGGGGCGGGGGCGCGCGGCCTGTGGCGCCGTCACCCGGCAGACTCCGGAGGGTAGAGCGCTGTGCCGGTTCCGCTGCCGCTGGCCAGGAGCGCGGGGACAGTTCGGGGCTGCGCCGGAGGCCGGCCCGCCTTCCCGGGGGTTCCGTTATCATGTCGCTGAGGCAGCGCCTGGCCCAGCTGGTTGGCCGTCTGCAGGACCCGCAGAAAGTGGCCCGTTTCCAGCGGCTGTGCGGGGTGGAAGCGCCGCCGCGCCGCTCAGCAGACCGGAGGGAGGATGAGAAAGCGGAGGCGCCTCTCGCCGGAGACCCTCGACTGCGAGGGCGGCAGCCAGGGGCGCCTGGAGGCCCCCAGCCTCCCGGGAGCGACCGCAATCAGTGCCCGGCCAAGCCGGACGGCGGCGGCGCCCCCAACGGCGTGCGGAACGGGCTGGCGGCCGAGCTGGGCCCGGCCTCGCCGCGGCGCGCGGGCGCTCTGCGCCGCAACTCGCTGACGGGCGAGGAGGGCCAGCTGGCCCGCGTGAGCAACTGGCCGCTCTACTGCCTGTTCTGCTTCGGCACGGAGCTGGGCAACGAACTCTTCTACATCCTGTTCTTCCCCTTCTGGATCTGGAACCTGGACCCTCTGGTGGGCCGGAGGCTCGTGGTCATCTGGGTGCTGGTCATGTACCTGGGCCAGTGCACCAAGGACATCATCCGCTGGCCGAGGCCCGCCTCGCCGCCCGTGGTCAAGTTGGAGGTCTTCTACAACTCTGAGTACAGCATGCCCTCCACCCATGCCATGTCCGGCACCGCCATCCCCATTTCTATGGTCCTCCTCACCTATGGCCGCTGGCAGGTAGGGTTCCTTCTCGTCCTGTTCAGCCTGGGGGAGTTCAAAGAACTCGGAGTTCTCTTTGCTCTCTGCATTTATTTTAATTCGACCGTTCCCCTCCAAAGCCTCTCTTTCCACAGGTTTTCACAATACTCGCAAACAGGCCCTTTCTGGGTTTTGAAAAATTAAGTGATTGGGGGAAACTGGATACTTAGCCGTTGAATTCTATTTTAATATTAAATTCCAATTTAATGCCTTAGAACCCAAAGGACACACTTTTCCTAGAGTAATACATTGTCATTGGGCTTTGGTTGAGTTTTTTAAACGGCTTTAATTCTTGTAATGCACAGTGGAAGTGAATTTTTTAAATAATCGCTATGTAAACTAAGACCCAGTTTCACCGTAATATATGGTGCCTTCTTCCCTAAAACTGTTTCAGAAAGAGGTAAAGTCATTAGCTTTACCGTGAGACAGTGTTTACAAAACGTTAGTGTAATTCCAAAACAAACATGCTAGTTCCAAGCAATGAAGTAATCGATTTTCATCGAAGTTCCCTTTATGGAAGTTAATGGAGCACAGGGTGAGTTCTGTTTTTAAGGGGTGTGGTTGCTACTTTGCTGATAAAGTTTGATTATCTTCTGGATCACTAATCTGTAGTATCTAACAGTTGTTGAGCTACAACTGTAATACTATAGTGTTATTGCCTCATTAACTCTAAAAATGCATGGTTTAAAAGTTATTCTTAAAGATAGGGCTCTTGATCAAACTAGTGGGTTTATAAAAATGGCAAATATGACAGCAGGGTCAGCCTGACAATCAGGAAAATTTTTTTTTTTTTTAACCCTCTCTGAAAACTGCCAAGGGAAGAGTTTTTAATGGTAATCGTTTTTATTTTGCTTACTTCTTTTGGCCTTCCAATGTTTATCTGTCTTTGAACTGTAAGATTTGTTAATCCTGCAGACCAGTCCCTTATTTTAAGAATAAAGTGCGTAATTGTGGAGATTCTAAGGAAACAAACTTCCTCTATTTTTTCCCCCTTTACTTCACAAAATCATTTTACATTGAGAAATACACATTCTGTGTAAAACTCCATTATGATAAGCTTACTTATCCCACATTAAATTTCAGTGTAGATAAAATTTCGTCCCCATGGATACTTCTGTGTAGTGCATCTCTCTTACAGTACATGGAAAATACGCATTGTGCATAGTAAGAATGGCAGAATTAGGAGGAAAGAGTACCATGGGAAGTTTTTTTCTGTTTAACCAAAGGAGCTATACGGTGATGTTCAGATTGTGAAGCAGTGCTACCTGTTTTGCGTAACAGATAAATATCTCGAAGTTTTCATTTAATCTAAATATTTCAGAATTTAAGATTTTCAATGAGCTGTGTTTGGCCTGGTGATGTTAGCTGATGATGTTTCTCTTATTTTCGTGAGACTTTTAGGATTCTGTAACAATAGAGCCTTTTATGATGCCTTCTCAGTGAGTAGCTATTTTGTATGCTATTAGTATTAGCAGTCAAAGTAAGAGAAAATAGCTATTTTTGCTCTTTATTTGTTCTGGACACATACTAACTGGAAGTCTGAAAACAGTACTGCTGAATCGTTTATGGGATATTGATATTCTAACATTTCAGGGTTATTTGAATTATCAGAATAAGCTTAGATTTAGTTTTTAAACAACCTAGTATATTTAACTCAAAGTTTAAGAAATTTGCGTATCATAGAATTTTAGACTTTGAAGTAGACCGGATGTTAGAAATCACTTAGTTTCAAACTGTCATTTTACAGATGTGCAAACTGACCAGTTACATTAAAATTAATCTTGTAATGCTTTAAATTTCTTATTTTACATTTTTTCACTCTAAATTTGCATGATTTTTCGGTTAGTTGTTCTGAAAGAAAGCCTCCTGACGGAGTCTCGCTCTGTTGCCCAGGCTGGAGTGCAGTGGTGCAGTCTCGGCTCACTGCAACCTCTGCCTCCCAGGTTCAAGCAATTCTCTGCCTCAGCCTCCCGAGTAGCTGGGATTACAGGCGCCTACCACCACACCAGCTAATTTTTTAAGGATTTTTAGTAGAGATGTGGTTTCACTGTTTTGGCCAAGCTGGTCTTGAACTCCTGACCTCAGGGGATCCACCCATCTCGGCCTCCCAAAGTGCTGGGATTACAGGCGTGAGCCACTGCGCCTGGCCTAAGCCTCCTTTATATGAAAGTTCTGTGTTTATAAATGTTTGACTAATAATCCAGTACAAAAAACAAGATGGCTTTTTAACCTTTTTCCTTTTTTTTTTCCCTAAGAGTCGGGGTCTCACTATATTGCCTAGGCTGGTCTCGAACTCCTGGGCTCAAGTTATCCTCCCTCCTTGGCCTCCCAAGTGCCAGCTTTTCCTTTTTTTTTTTTAAGACGGAGTCTCGCTCTGTTGCCCAGGCTGGAGTGCTGTGGCGCAATCTCGGCTCTCTGCAATCTCCTGATCTCAATCAGGAGATTGAGACCATCCTGGCTAACACAGTGAAACCCCGTCTCTACTAAAAAATACAAAAAATTAGCCGCCCCCCGCTCATCGGCCTCCCCACCACTGGCCTCCCAGAGTGCTGGCATTACAGGCGTGAGCCACCGCGCCTGGCCTCCTTTTCCTTTTCCTTTTTTTTTTTTTTTTTTTTTTTTTAAAGATCCTTGTTATCTATTGAAAACAAAAGTACCTTCCTTTGCTTCAGCTGTTTGGGTCCTCTACTCTGTGAATTAGTATTGTACTGCATTGGAGGCTTATATAGAAAGCCTTTCCCCTAGAAACTGGGGGAAGAATTAAATAATGAAAGCCTGGTGTTTTTCTAATAAGTTTTGGTTGGCAGTCTTGCCTATCTGCTGTGCCTCAGCTGCTTATTTGGGACAGGTATGGTTACTTATATATGCCTGGCGTGCTGAAACATCTCTTGAAACTGAGTTCTATACCATTCCTTTGTCTTGGCTTTACTACTTCACTACTACCTACTACTTAATGTTTCTGCCCTCATTGAAATTTGCTCAAGATTCACCACCCAGAGCATTTTAAATTAATCCTTTCTGTTTCATTATTCCTCACTTACACTTAAAATGACAGTATATGGCCAGGTGTAGTGGTTCATCCCTGTACACCTAGCACTTTGGGAGGCTGAGGCGGAAGGATCCCTTGAGCCCAGGAGTTGGAGACCAGCCTGGGCAATATAGCGAGACCCTGTCTCTGCAAAAAAAAATCAAAAATCAGCTGGGCATGGTGGCGCATGCCTGTAGTTCTAGCTACTAGGGAGGCTGAGGTGGGAGCATCACTTGAGCCTGGGAGGTTGAGGCTGCAGTGAGGTGTGATTGCACCACTGCACTTCAGCCTAGATGACAGGGCAAGACCCTATCTCAAAAAAAAAAGACAGCGTACAAACTCGGGGTTGTTTAAAAATGCAGATTTCTACATTTCCCAGGGTAAGTTTCCCAGAGATTCTGACCCATTAGATGAGTGAGGAGTTAGTTGTATTTCTTCAAGATTGCTGTCTCAGCTTCTTTGAAATTCCAGTCTTTGAATTTTTTTTTTTTTTGAGACGAAATCTCTCTTTGTCACCCAGGCTGGAGTGTGGTGGTGTGATCTTGTCTCACTGCAAACTCTGCCTCCCCGGTTCAAGCGATTCTCCTGCCTCAGCCTCCTCAGTAGCTGGGACTACAGGCGCACACCACCACCCCCGGCTAATGTTTGTATTTTTAGTAGAGACGGGGTTTCACCATGTTGGCCAGGATGGTCTCGATCTCTTGACCTCGTGATCCACTCCCCTCAGCCTCCCAAAGTGCTGGGATTACAGACGTGAGTCACTGCACCCTGCCTGAATTTTTTTAAGGTACGTTATAAGACAAAGGAGAGATTGGAATAGTATAGCTCCAAGTAATTACTTAAAGAGTTTTGTATATAAATTTTATGGTGATGGAGGATAGAAAATGTTATGACCTTTTCCCAAGGATTAAATAACTTGAGATCCATTGCCTAGGATAATGGTTATTGCTCTCATATTATTCATTGGAATTTTTTGTAGCCTGAATTGGAAAAAAAATTAAGAAATAAGGAGCATCTGATATAAAGACAATAAATAGTCCTTTGAAGAATAAGATAAACAATATGACGTTCCTTTTCCATTTATGTTTGCATGTTCTTTTCAAAAATAAAATTTCTTAATTTTTAAAGCTCTGTTTGACTTGAATTAATTTAATTTTTAAATAATATGGAATGTAATCAGTTTTAACTGTATACTTTATTTAATTAGAAGGTTTTAGATTAATTTTTTTTTTTTTTTTTTGAGACAGGGTCTTACTCTGTCGCTCAGACTGGAGTACAGTGGCACGATTCCGGCTCACTGCAGCCTCGACCTCCCAGGCTTAAGTGATCCTCCCACCTCAGCCTCCCAAGTAGCTGGGACCACAGGCACACACTACCACCAGCTAATTTTGTTTGTTTGTTTGTTTGTTATAGAGACGGGGTTTTGCCATGTTGCTTAGGCTGGTCTTGAACTCCTGAGCTCAAGTGATCCTCCCACCTCGGCCTCCCAAAGTGCTGGTATTACAGGCGTCAGCCACCTTGCCCTGCTAAAAATTAGCTGTAGCACTTACTTTATAGACAACTCATTGCCAACTAGTCTTTCATTTTGTGTGCTTTTACTACTTTTTATTATAATAATTATATTTTATAATAATAATGTTATAGCATTGTTAATATTTTTATTTTTTATTTTTTATTTTTTGAGATGGAGTCTCACTCTGTTGCCCAGGCTGGAGTGCAGTGGTGCGATATTGGCTCACTGCAACCTCTGCCTCCTGGGTTCAAGTAGTTCTCCTACTTCAGCCTCCTGAGTAGCTGGGATTACAGGCACGCCCCACCACGCCCGGCTAATTTTTTTTTTTTTTTTTTTTCAATAGAGACAGGGTTTCACCATGTTGGTCAGGCTAGCCTCTAACTCCTGACCTTGTGATCTGCCCACCTTGGACTCCTAAAGTGTTGGGATTACAGGCATGAGCCACTGCGCCCAGCTGTTAATATATATTTTTAAGCACTTACTATGAATCAGACATTGTTTGAAATGTCTTTTATCTCATTTACTCTTCTATAATACCCCAATGTTCCTATTACTAGCATGGGTTTACAGATGAGGAAACTGAGGTACAGGGAGGTTATATTATGTAACTTAAGCAAAGTAACCTAGCCAGTAAGTGTCAGGGGCTCAGACTGACTCAGCAGCTTATATAGAAAATTCATTTTAAATCACACTTTGTGTGTGATTTTTAAGGTATGCTTGCAGTAATATTATTTTTGAAATATATGATTGTATTCTTAAAATATGAGAATAGCTTTTATATACCTTGAGAAGATAATTTGTGTTTGTGTATGTACATACATATGCAACATCCACAAATATTTGTGTTTTAAACATGTATGAAGATGTTGACTGAAATCAAATGCTGATTTGTCACCTAATATAAATAAAAAATTTGATAAACATAGTAAGAGCTTTGGAAAAGAAAGACACATAAGAATATTCTGTCAAAATGTTGTTTACTGTAAATAATAGAAGAAGATATCTGTGAGGTCATGAAAAGATAAATGGAAGAAAGGCAAAAAGTAAGAGTTACAAAAGTAGGTCACAGTAAAGACCAGAGGAGGCTGCAAGATCCAAGAAAAATTGATCACTATGGTAATTCTGGAAAGAAACACAGTTTATTAAAAAATTGAATTGGCTTGCCTCTTTTTTATGGAGCACGATACTTGTGTTTGAAATTCACGTTTTCCTGAGTTTATAAGTCCTTATTACTAATTCCTTTTTTTTTTTTCTGGATACGAAGTCTTGTTCTTGTCACCAGGCTGGAGTGCAGTGGCATGATCGTGGCTCACTACAACCTCCGCCTCCTGTGTTCAAGTGATTCTTCTACCTCAGCCTCCTGGGTAGCTGGGATGACAGGTGTGTGCCACCACACCCGGCTAATTTTGTATTTTTTTTGAGATGGCGTCTTGCTCTGTTGCCCAGCCTGGAGTGCAGTGGCACGATCTTGGCTCACCCACCACCATGCCTGTCTCTACTAAAAATACAGAAATTAGGCTGGGTGCTGTGGCTCACGCCTGTAATCCCAGCACTTTTGAAGGCCGAGACGAACGGATCGCCTGAGGTCAGGAGTTCAAGACCAGCCTGACCAATATGGTGAAACCCCGTGTCTATTAAAAATACAAAAATTAGCTGGGTGTGGTGGCAGGTGCCTGTAGTCCCAACTACTTGGGAGGCTGAGACAGGAGAATTGCTTTAACCTGGGAGGCAGAGGTTGCTTGAACCCTGCTGACAGAACAAGACTCTGTCTCAAAAAAAGAAACATGAAAAGAAGAGTACATTTCTTTCTCTGTCCCACAGCTTCTAGGGTCTTTTTTTCTGAAGGATTCAGTGTTAGACATCTCTTGTTTAGCTTCCCAGAGGTAGTCTCTACTTTTGCAGACATACATTTATATAGTTGTTTGTTTGTTTTGAGACGGAGTTTTGCTCTTGTTGCCCAGGCTGGAGTGCAGTGCAATGGTGCGACCTTGGCTCACCGCAACCTCCGGCTCCCAGGTTCAAGTGATTCTCCTGCCTCAGCCTCCTAACTAGCTGGGATTACAGGCGTCCACCATCACGCCCGGCTAATTTTTTTAATTTTTAGTAGAAATGGGGTTTCAGCATGTTGGCCAGGCTGGTCTTGAACTCTTGACCTCAGGTGATCCACCCGCCTCGACCTCCCAAAGTGCTGGGATTACAGGCATGAGCCACCGCACCCGGCCTATATAGTTTATTATTCATACACAAGGTAATATACTGTACTGTTCTGGATCTTGCTTTTATCACTTAGTAATATATTGCAAAGACCTTCCTTCCCCTCCCTCCGTCTCTTTCTTCCTTCCTTCCATCCATCCATCCTTCTTTTCCTTTTTCTCTTTCCTTCCCATCCTTCCTTCCTTTTTTTCTATTTCTTCTTTTTTTCTTACCATTTTTGTTTTTACATAGGTTTCACCATGTTGCCAAGGTTGGTCTCAATCTCCTGGGCTCAAATGATCCTCCTGCCTCAGCTTACCAAAGTGCTGGGATTACAGGCATGAGCCACCATGCCCAGCATGTTTTTTTTTTTTTTTTTGTGAGATGCAGGCTCCCTCTGTCGCCCGGCTGGAGTGCAGTGGTGCCATCTTTGCTCACTGCAACCTCCCCCTCCTGGGTTCAAGCAATTCTCCTGCCCCAGCCTCCCGAGTAGCTGGGATTACCGGCACCTACCACCATGTCCAGCTAATTTTTTTTTTTTTTTTGTATTTTCAGTAGAGATGGGGTTTCACCGTATTGGACAGGCTGGTCTCGAATTCTTGACCTTTGGTGATCCGCCCGCCTCTGCCTCCCAAAGTTCTGGGATTACAGGCATGAGCCACCGTGCCTGGCCTTCTTTTTTTTTTTAAGTCCAACAATTAATGAATACTAATTATGTGTCTATGATTTTTAAAAATGCCTTACATAAATTAATTCTATATATATATAGAGAGAGAGAGGGAGAGAGGCAAACAGAAGGAGAGAGAAAATGCTATCTAATTTTTTTCACATTTGCATGCTGTTCCAATATATTAATATGACATAATTTAATAAGTTGACTATTTCTATACATTTATTTATTTATTTTCCCAGCGCTCCCCTCAAGAAATATTCCAATACCTTTAGTTTTCCAATTGTTTGCTAGTGTAATGACACAGTGACTGTTTACTGGAACACATTACTATGTCAAAGAATATAGGCATTTAAATTTTAACAGATAACGTAAAATTGCCTGTCATAAAGATTGTACTAATTTACATTCATCCTGGAAATGTATGAGAGTATCTGGTTTCCTATGCTTTCAGTGTTGCAGTATGTTATCAAATTTATTGATATTCCTCAAAATAATTTTTCTTAAATTAAAAAAAAATAATTTTTATGTGGCCAGGCGTGGTGGCTCACACCTGTAATCATAGCACTTTGGGAGGCTGAGGTGGGCGGATCAGCCGAGGTCAGACATGGAGAAGCCCTGTCTCTACTAAAAATACAAAAATTAGCCGGGTGTGGTGACAAGCACCTGTAATCCCAGCTACTCGGGAGCTGAGGCAGGAGAATCGCTTGAACCTGGGAGGCATACGTTGCAGTGAGCCAAGATCATGCCACTGCACTCCAGCTTGGATGACAGGAGCTAAACTCCATGTCAAAAAAAAAAAAAAAAAAAAAAAAAAAAAATATATATATATATATATATATATATATATATATATATGTATATACATATATATGAATTTTTACTATCCTAATTTTACAGATGACAAAGTAATTTTAACATTGTATTTAATTTGAATTAGTCTTATCAGTAAAGTTGAAGAACTTTCCATAGGTTTATTGACCACTTATGTTTCCTTTTCTGTGAGCTGTCTATTCAAAGCATTTCTTTTATTTTTTTTCACTTAGATTATTGGTATTTTACTTACTGATCTTTACAGATTTTTAATTTTTTTATTGCTATGGGTACCTAGTAGGCATATATTTATAGGGCACATGTTGATTTTTAAAAACTGTATCTTTTTTTAGTGGTTGCTTCACCTTAAAATAATATTACATTAGTTCAAGTATAGCATCAGAACCTTGCAACAGTATATTTCCACTTATCCCTGCCCTCTCTTTGTCATGCATTTATATCCATATATGTCCTAAGGCTCACAATTCATCGTTATTATTTTTGTATAATGTTCCAATGTATGATATAGAATGTCCCAATATGGTTTTGGAACTGGTATAATTTTTCTCCTACCTAAAGAGCCTCTTTTCACATTTTTTCTACTATAGATCTGCTGGTGATAACATTTCCTTAGCTCTTTTATTTGAAAAATATATTGAATTAATTTTGGAAAAATATTTTCATGAGGTACAGAATCCAAAAATAAAGATACAGAATTCAGAATTCTAGGTTGATAGTTTTGTTTTTTCTCTTGGCACTTCTTTTTTTTTTTTTTGAGATGGAGTCTTGCGCTGTTCCCCAGGATGGCATACAGTGGCCCAATCTTGGCTCACTGCAACCTCCACCTCCTGGGTTCAAGCAGTTCTCCTGCCTCAGCCTCCCAAGTAGCTGGGACTGCAGGCGAGCACCAACATGCCTGGCTAATTTTTTTGTAATTTTAGTAGAGATAGGGTTTCACTGTGTTGGCCAGGCAGGTCTCAAACTCCTAACCTCAAGTAATCTGCCTGCCTCAGCCTCCTAAAGTGTTGGGATTACAGTTGTAAACCACTGTGCCCGGCTACTTTTGGCACTTTTAGTACTATGTTGTACCATTGCCTTCTGGCTTGCATAGTTTTTGACAAAATATCTGCTGAAATTCTTATTTGTGATCCCCAGTACTTAATATGTATTTTTTATTCTGGCTGGTTTTAAAATTTTCTCTTTTTCTCTAGTGTTGAGCAATTTAAAAATGATGTGCCTTAACATGCTTTTTCTTTGTATTTCTTCTGCTTTGAGGTCATTGAGCTTGAATCCATGGGTTTGTAGTTTTCGTTATATTTGGAAGATCTTCAGCATTATTTTTAGAATTTTTTTCCTCTCCCTTCCCCACTTCCATTCGGTTCTTTGGAAATTCCAATTTCAGTACGGGTGTGGTGGCTCATGCCTGTAATCCCAGCACTTTGGGAGGCCGAGGCTGGCGGATCACGAGGTCAGGAGATTGAGACCATTCTGGCTAACATGGTGAAACCCCAGCTCTACTAAAAATGCAAAAAAATTAGCCGGGCATGATGGTGGGTGCCTGTAGTCCCAGCTACTCGGGAGGTTGAGGCAGGAGAATGGCGTGAACCTGGGTGGTGGAGCTTGCAGTGAGCCGATAACGGATATCATGCCACAGCACTCCAGCGTGAGCGACAGAGTGAGACTCCGTCTCAAAAAAAAAAAAAAAGAGAAATTCCAATTTCATGTGTTTTAAACTGTTCATTCACAGGTCCCTGAAGCTCTATTCTTTTTTTTTTTTTTAAGCATTTTTGCTTTCCCTGCTTCCTTTTTTACAGTTTCTGTTGCTATGGCTTTAAGTTCACTTACCTGTTCTTTTGCAATCTCTAATTTTCTGGTAATTTTATCAAGTAGGATAGGGTATAATTTCAGATTCTGTGTAGTTTATATCTAGAAATTGCATTTGGGTCTTTTAAAAAATCTTCAATTTCTCAGCTCATTATATTTCTGTATTCTTGAGTAAGTTCAGAAGATTTTTAAAAATTACAGTTGGGTCCTGGGCACGGTGGTTCATGCCTGTAATCCCAGCACTTTGGGAGGCCAAGGCAGGTGGATCAGCTGAGGTCAGGAGTTTGAGACCAGCCTGGCCAACATGCAGAAACCTCCTCTCTACTAAAAATACAAAAATTAGCTGGCATGTTGGTGGGCGCCTGTAATCCCAGCTACTTGGGAGGCTGAGGCAGGAGAATTGCTTGAACCCAGGAGGCAGAGGTTGCTGTAAGCTGAGATTGTGCCACTGCACTCCAGCCTGGGTGACAGCGTGAGACTCTATCTCAAAAAAAAAAAAAGTATTATTGGGTACAGAGACTCACTGTCACCCAGGCTGGGGTGCAATTGTGAGATCTTAAACCCAAGAGCCTCGAACTCTTGGGTTTAAGGGAACCTCCTGCCTCAGCATCCAGAGTAGCTAGGACTGCAGGTGTGTGCCACCATGCCTGGCTAATTTTTTAAATTTTTTAATTTTATATTTTTAATTTTTTTGTTTGTTTTTTTGAGACTGAGTCTTGCTCTGTTGCCCAGGCTAGAGTGCAGAGGTGTGATATTGGCTCACTGCAACCTCCACCCCCCGGATTCAAGCGATTCTCCTGCCTCAGCCTCCCAAGTACCTGGGATTACAGGCGCTCGCCACCACACCCAGGTAATTTTTGTATTTTTAGTAGAGATGGGGTTTCACCATGTTGGCCAGGCTGGTCTTGAACTCCTGGGCTCATACTATCCTCTCACCCCCGTTTCCCAAAGTGCTGGGATTACAGTACCTTGCCCAGCCAATTTATAAGATGTTTTATAGCAATCTTAAGGTATTTATCTTCTAATTCCATCATCTTTGTCATCTTTGTGTGTTTCTATTATTTCTCCTGATTATAGATCATATTTTCCTAATTCCTTGCTTGGTAATTTTTACAGTTTTGGATTTTGTTGTATTTCTTTACATAGTCTTGGAGTTTGTTCTGGTGTGCAGTTAAATTACTTGTCAGTTTAAATCCTTCTAGGTTTGATAGGATGGTCCAGAATAATCGTAGGTTAAGGCTAATTTAGCTTCACTACTTACATGATAACCTTCTAACCATTCTACCCAATTCCCTCTTCACTGCTTGATGGGAAAGCAATTGCAAGCTTATATGAGCTTTGGGAATTGTTTGGCCTGCTCCTCTCCACAGTGGTTTTTTCTACAGTCTGGTGGATTTCTCCCCATGCATGCACAGATTAGTACTCAGCCAGCAACTTCATGAGTTCCCTCTACATATCTCCAGGGCTCAGTCTCTGAGATTTGTCTCTCCAATACTCTGTCCTGCAAATTACAGCCTCTTTGGCTTCTGAGGATACTAGTCTTTCTCCCCTTAACTCAGGGAAACTGCTGGACTCAGTTTTGATTCTTCCTCCTGTGCTACAGCCTGGAAACTGCCTCTAGCAGCAGGATAATGCAATCACAGGGCTCATTTGTTTCCCTTTTCTCATGGATCTGAGTTTCACAAGAGTGAAACTCCGGCTCAAAAAAAAGGGGGTTTTATTCGAACAACATACAAACACACAACAGAATGCTTCATAAGTCACTTTAAACAATAAAATAGACAATAATAACATACATATTTTTATAAGCATACTCAGGTATACTAATGACAGTTGCACAGGTACAACAGTTATGAGCAGATGAACTGTATTCATAAGGTCATTGGCTGGGTGCGGTGGATTATGCCTGTAATCCCAGCACTTTGGGAAGCTGAGGTGGGTGGATCACCTGAGGTCAGGAGTTCGAGACCAGCCTGGCCAACGTGGTGAAACCCTGTCTCTACTAAAAATACAAACAATTAGCTGGGCGTGGTGGCAGGCGCCTGTAATCCCAACTACTTGGTAGGCTGAGGCGGAGAATCACTTGAACTCGGGAGGCAGCGGTTGCAGTGAGCCAAAATCACAGCATGAGCAACAAGAGCAACACTCCATCTCAAAAAAAAAAAAAAAAAAGGTCGGCTGGGAGCAGTGGCTCATGCCTGTAATCCCAGCACTTTAGGAGGCTGAGGCAGGAGGATCTCTTCAGCTCAGGATACCAGCCTGGGCACCATGGTGAAATTCCATCACTATAAAAAATATAGAAAGTTAGCCAGGCGTGGTGGTGTGTGCCTGTGGTCCCAGCTACTCTGGAGGCTAAGGTGGGGAAAAATCACCTGAGGCTGCAGTGAGCTGTAACCACATCACTATACTCCAGCTTGGGCAACTCAGTGAGACCCTGTCTCAAAAAAAAAAAAATAAATAAAAATAGAAGGAGGTCAAGGCTGGGCATGGTGGCACATGCCTGTAATCCCAGCACTTTGGAAAGCCAAAGCAGGAGGATCACTTGAGGCCAGGAGTTCGAGACCAGCCTGGGCAACAAATCAAGACCCTTTCTCTACACAAAATTTAAACATTAGCCAGGTGTGGTGGTATGTACTTGTAGTCCCAGATACTTGGGAAGCTGAGGTGGGAGGATCACTTGAGCCCAGGAGTTGGAGGCTGCAGCGAACTATAATCATGCCACTGTGTCTTAGCCTGGGAGATAGAACGAGACTCCATTAGTAAAAAATGAAAATTAAAAAAAATAAAGAGTTAAAAAAGTGAAGTACAAACATTTATCACTATGGCTGGTAATTGTGTGCACTCCACTTTATTAACTGTGGTCATCTGAAATACCATGATAGACAATCTGAGCCTTTTGATGAGATCCATCAAAAACCACATGGGCCAGCTACCACATGTGCAGTCACCCAAAGAGTCAAGATCTCAAGAAATTTTATCTTTCACAAATGCAGATGTACATCACTTCGTTTATTAAGTTTCTACATTTTTACCTTGTGAACCAGGGAAGTTGATGGTGTAACTCCCAGTCCAAGGCTGAAAGCCTCAGGATCTGGGTGGTTGCTGGTGTAAGTATGTGCTGGAATCCCAAGGCTGGTGAGCCTGGAGTTCTAACATCCAAGGCAGCAGAAGAAAAGTCTGTCCCATCTCCCAAAGAATCCAGTTAACCTTCTGGATATGTTCTGTCTGGGCCTCCTGCAGATTAGATGGTGCATGCCAACATTGAGGGCAGATCTTTCCCATCTAGTCCACTCTGACTCATACACTAATCTCCTCTGGAAACATGCTCACAGACACACCCAAAATGATGCTTTACCAGATTTCTAGGTATTTCTTAATCCAGTCAAGCTGACACCTAAAATTAAGTCCACAAATTCAAACCTTGTCAACTTCACACCCATATGTATGAACTGTATATAATTTCCATGTAAAGACAATAGCAAGAAAATACTTCACCTAACATGATATGGCTATCCCACATACAACCAAAAATGTGCTAAATTTCTTCCCTAGATTTTGGCTTTCAAATTCCAGGATTTTAATATTTTGGGTTTTTAATTTTCAGGATTTTAGATATTAGAGATTTTAGACTTTAGAGATTTTGATCTTTTGGGATTTCAACATTCAGGATTGTATCTTTTGGGATTATGACTGACACCAGTTCTGACATAGACCGTTTAGGCCACAGAGCCTAAATAGTTGCTATCAGGCTCTTTACAAAAAGCTTTGCCAGTCCCTGACTTAGTGTCAATGGCAGTAGAGAGAAATGGGTGAATTTGATAGATATTAAGAGGTAGAATTGACAAAACATGGTGACTAATTGGATATATCAGTAAGAAGGAAAAAAAGTATTGTTCTGAGGTTTCCTGCTTGGCAAGCTGAGAAGTAGTAGTTTGGTTTATAGAAATAGCAAATAATGAAAGTGGGTCAGATTTGGGGAAAGTGGCAACGGCATGGAGATGACTTCAGTTTTAGGTATTTCGAGTTTGAAGTGTCTATAAGTCATCTGGAGCTGTCCAGGAGATGGTTCTATACATGAAGATCAGGACCAGTTTCTTGTCATCAGCATATAGGTGCAAAATGAGTACACACAGAAGAAGAGAGGGTCTGCTGGGCACAGTGGTGCAGGTCTGTAATCCCAGAACTTTGGGAGGCTGAGAATGGTGGATTGCTTGAGCCCAGGAGCTCGAAACCAGCTTGGGCAACATGGTGAAATGCCATTTTTTTTTTTTTTTTTTTTTTGAGACAGAGTTTTGCTCTTGTTGCCCAGGCTGGAGTACAATGGCACGATCTCGGCTCACTGCAACCTCCACCTCACAGACTCAAGCAATTCTCCTGCCTCAGCCTCCCAAGTAGCTGGGATTATAGTCCCAGCTACTCAGGAGGATCACTTGAGTCCAGGTGGTTGAGGCTGCAGTGAACTGTAACGGTGCCATTGTACTCCAGCCTGGGCAACAGAGCAAGACCCTCCCTCAAAAAAACAAACAAAAAATAAGTAAAAAATACAAAAAAATTAAAAATGTTCTGTTTTCATACGCACATGTCTGCCTCACTCATAGTTTTATTTTTATAAATTCAAGCACACAGTAGAGACTCTCTTTCTGACTTTATTTGCAGCTACTTTTAGAAAAAAGAATCTGACTGGCTCAGCACAGCCAATGGTTTTGCTTCCCTAGTGCCAAGTGTTCATTCCTGATCCAAGTAGCTGTGGTCAAGGGAGCAGGATCACAGGGGATGAGCATGTCTCCAGGGCCACACTGCTGGGTCCAAGTGGGGGAAGTTTTCAGAAGAGAGGGGTGTAGATTGGACAGTATCATAAAATGAATGTAGTACAGAGGGAAGCCAGAAGTGAAAGTAAGAGAGAGGGTGTTTCTAGAAAAGAAAAGTAGTTAACATTGTTATTCTGCTAAGAGAACAAGCAAGATAAGTACTGAAATTTATAGAAGACTTAGAAAATAAATTAAAAAAAGAAAAAGCTAATGTTAATTTTTTATTTCCTTACAATTTGAAAATAGTTGGGACCATATTATATGTGGAGTTTATTCTTTTTATTTAATATTATATGTGATTATTAATTTTATGTATCAGTTTATTTGAGTAAAGGTACTCAGATTTTTTTTTTTTTTTTTTGAGATGGAGTCTTGCTCTGTTGCCCAGGCTGGAGTGCAGTGGTGCGATCTTGGCTCGCTGCAACCTCCGCCTCCCAGGTTCAAGCGATTCTCCTGCCTCAGCCTCCCCAGTAGCTGGGATTACAGGTGCCTACCACCACGCCTAGCTAAGTTTTATATTTTTAGTAGAGATGTGGTTTTGCCATGTTGGCCAGGCTGGTCTGGAACTCCTGACCTCAAGTGATCTGCCCACCTTGGCCTTCCTGGGATTACAGGCCTTGACCACCATGGCCAGCAAAAGTACTCAGCTTTTGATCAAAAATGATCAAAACATCTAGATGTTTTTCTGAAAGTAGTTTTTAGACAAGTTTAACATTTAAATCAGTGGACTTTGAGTAAAGCAGATTATCCTCCATAATGTGAGTAGGTCTTATCCAATTAAATGAAGGCCTTAAGAGAAGACTGACCTCCCCCAAAGAAGAGTGAATTCTGCCAACAGAATGGTTTCAGACTTGAGCTACACATTAACTCTTCCCTGGGTCTTCAGCCTGTCGGCCTGCCCTGCAGATTTTGGACTTGCCAGCCCCTACAACTGCATGACCAATCCTTAAAATAAACTTTTCTTTGTATATGTAGATATACATATCCTATTGGTTCTGTTTCTCTGGAGAACCCTGAGTAATACATTATGTAAAGAATTTTCCCACCAATATAAATCCCTAGAAAACAATCTTAATGGCCAGGTGCAGTGGCTCACGCCTGTAATCCCAGCACTTTGGGAGACCGAGGTGGGCGGATCACCTGAGGTCAGGAGTTCAAGACCAACCTGGCCAACATGTGGAAATCCCGTCTCTACTAAAATTACAAAAAATTAGCTGGGCGTGGTGGTGGACGCCTGTAATCCCAGCTACTTGGGAGGCTGAGGCAGGAGAATCGCTTGAACCCGGGAGGCAGAGGTTGCAGTGAGCCAAGATCGCGCCATTGCACTCCAGCCTGGGCAGCAAGAGTGAAACTCTGTCTCAAAAAAAAAAAAAAAGAAAGAAAACAATCTTAATGAATGAAATTTTAAAAATATTCCTATGAAATAGTTTTTATACTGTAGGGTTATGATTATTATAGGTCTTAGTATCCCCATTTATAGATGAGGAAACTGAGATGTAAAGAGATTATGCGGCTAGCCCTATCCCATGGTCCTACAACTGAAGAAGTAGCTTTTGGGGTGTCTGCCTAGTTTATAACTCTCTAAAAGCTCCCTTACCTATAGGGAAGCTATATTTTCTTTACATGATCTCGTCCCTTAGGATTTGAGAACAGGTACAGAGTCTGGGCTGGTTTTCTCAATGAGGAAGTAAATTCAGAAGCCTTTGTCTGTCATGTGGACTGAAAGGCAGAGAAGCTGGTCTGTAGAAAAAGAAAAATGAAGCGGAAATATAGAAAGAAAAGATGATCCTGTGACTGTTCTGTTTATAGTTGTGGTTTCTTCTCCAAGCTTAGCCTCATTCCACCTTAGGGTTCTGTGAGACGCTGTCTATCCTTTTAATGCATCTCCTTTTTTTCTTCTTAAAATAATCTAAATTGGTTTCTGTTATTTACATGTTTGGAGTTCCAATATAATGCATGAAGTAAATAGTGATAGGTCTATGTAGCTCTATAAACTCATATTTTTAACTACTTCATTATAACCAATAAATTTGGTTTATAATTATTGTATGTTATCAATAATTTTATGACAAACATTTAAAAATATGAATCCTTACCCACATTTCTATGTCCTTAGTATAGAATTCTAGCATTGCTGGGTCAATATATATGAACATTTAGAGCTCTTCTGTGTATTGACAAAATGCTTTCCAGAAAGGTTGTATCAGTTTTCATTACACTAGTAATGTATGAGAACAAGGCATGTCTATCTTTAATGTGCCATTATTGTCATCCGTTTACATGTACACTATTCATTCCTAGAATTGAACAGAAATTCTTTCCTGTGCCTGCCTTCCATATTTAAGTTACTCTGAAAAATTTAAATTGTATTAAAGACAGTTTTTGTAATTGTTTTAATTGCAAGTGATTTTATTGACTTAATTTACTACCTTCAATGAATGTAAATGGAACATGCCAAAATATGCAAAATAATTCTTATTATGTATAATAGTGAGAAAGTATATCACAAAGAAAAAAGCCGTTTGGTAGAATAATTGAGGGAAACGTTTAGATAAATTTTCTTGTGATCAAGGATGTGCAGTGAAAAGATTAGATAGTGGTATGAAATTAAAAACATCTAGGATGTCATGTGATCTGTTTTGGGTTTGGTACATTTTTACATTTTTATGTATTTGAAAATAATGTGAAGGACTTGTAATTTTTACTTTCTACTCTATAAGACCTAAAGATTTAATTTCAGTAAAAACATTCTTATTAGAGGAAATACATAAATGCCACAGATACAGCTCAACATTCTCTATGAAAATGAAAACAGAAGCCAGGAAACCCCTGCCAAATTTAAAATTGTTACCCATTTGTGTAATGATAAAAATATAAAGTAAGAAGCAATGATAAATTGGAAAAGGAATTAGAATAGGTCACTAGAGTATAATACTGAATGTTACTTAGCATCCATAGGTCTGTTCTTTAACTGTAAAGAGAGAGGGATAGAATTAATGGTTTTTTTTTTTTTTTTGAGACAGAGACTCCCTCTTGTTGCCCAGGCTGGAGTGCAATGGCATAGTTTCAGCTCACTGCAACCTCTGCCGCCTGGGTTCAAGCGATTCTCCTGCCTCAGCCTCCCGAGTAGCTGGGATTACAGGCCCCCACCACCACACCCGGCTAATTTTGTGTTTCTAGTAGAGACGGAGTTTCACTATGTTGGCCAAGCTCGTCACGAACTCCTGACCTCAGGTGATCCACCCACCTTGGCCTCCCAAAGTACTGGGATTATAGGTGTGACCCACCACGCCCAGCCAGAATTAGTATCTTTAAGCTCTCTTCTACCTCTAATTAGATGAAATTTTTATTTAGCCTTCATTCTAAGAAAAACTTAAAATATATTTGAGTGATATTCTACTTGATCCTAAGGATAAAAGAAATTAAACAACACACTTTGAACAACTTTATATATGAAGGGCAGCATAGTGTAGTAGTTAAGAGCTCAGACTCAGGAATCAGACTTCCTGTGCTTGAATCACAGATCCATAACCTGATAGCTGGTTGACTTAGGGCAAAAATTTGACCCTGCTGTGCCGCAGTTTCATCTATAAAATGAGGTGAATTAGAATAGCTACGCCATATGGTTGTTCTGATGATTACATGGGTTAATATTTGTAAAAGCTCTTAGAATAGCACCTGGTATGTAGTAAATTGTATGTCAAATAAAAATTACTAACCTCTCAGTAAATAATAAATTCATATTTATTTCTCCTAATGTCTGCCTAGAATTGAATTTTGGCTTAAAAAAGTCTAGCCAAATTAACGGTCAGAAATAAAGGATTGCTGGCTGGGCACAGTGGCTCATGCCTGTAATCCCAGCACTTTGAGAGGCCGAGGCTAGCAGATCATCTGAGGTTAGGAGTTCGAGACAAGCCTGGCCAATATGGCAAAACCCCATCTCTACTAAAAATACAAAAAAAAAAAAAATAGCTGGGCATGGTGGTGGGCACCTGTAATCCCAGCTACTTGGGAGGCTGAGGCAGGAGAATCATTTGAACCCAGGAGGCGGAGGTTGCAGTAAACCGAGATGGGGCATTGCACTCCAGCCTGGGAGACAAGAGGGAAACTCCATCTCAAAAAAAAAAAAAAAAAAAAAAGGATTGCTGCTATAGCCAGTGAGTACCAAGAAAAAAAGAAAGATTGGGTTAGGTAGGAATAGAAAAGAAGTGGAGAGAGTGGAGGACGATACCACAAATATGTATCAGAAACAAGAGAAAGGTCAGTTAGATTGCTGTGACTGAGGAATGGGGGAAGAGATAGTCCCCCTAGTTCTGACTTTTTATAAAATAGAAACTAAGCTCTTACAGAATTGCTAAATTTACTAATGTGGGAAAGACAGAATTTGAGTTTGCCATTGTAATGCGTTTTGCATTTTGAAAATTATTGTACTTAATGAGCCTACCACACTCACTTTTTCCTGAGTGCCGAGGCAGCTATACAACTATTGTCACCACAGACTAGATTTGTTCTCAACCCTGGAGGTTTGAATAGGGATTTAAAAAAAAAATCTGCACAGAATCCACACAAGACACTGGAGAAGTTTTCTGGAGCCTCGAAGCAGATGAGGGTGGATTATCCAAGACATAAAAAAATACTTAATAAGGGCTTGGTGCAGTGGCTCATGCCTGTAATCCCAGCACTTTGGGAGGCCGAGATAGGTGGATCACATGAGGTTGGCAGTTCAAGACCAGCCTGACCAGCAGGAGAATTGCTTGAACCCGGGAGGCGGAGGTTGCGGTGAGCCGAGATCGCGCCATTGCACTCCAGCCTGGGCAACAAGAGAGAAACTCCATCTCAAAAAAAAAAAAAAAAATCAGTAGATAATGAAGAAGTACTAATGACTTGGAAACTGCCTGGACGTCTATATTTATTGGTTTCTGGAGAGGCAATCAGGAATTTCTTCCTCATGATCTGGAATGCTGGGGCCTGCCTGTAGCTCTGACGTGTTACAAGCTATAACATGTAGCCCTACTCTTTCTTCACAGATTCTTTCCTTAATAGGAACTGGAACACAGATCCTGTTTTTTTAACGTAAGATTATATCGACTAGTATGGTAGCAAATAGCACTTCCCTTACTGTGGTTTTTGATATAAAATATATTTTTAATTATAATGTGTATATGGTGAGTTCAGTTGCTAAACTGATTCTTTGTAACTTAAGAGTTCAAAAGAGAAACAGTAATAACACTGACATTAGATGCAAATAGGTCAAAACCGTAGATTGAGAATGTTTTAAATTATATTTTTCTCATTTAATGTGTACATTAAATGATTATATATGGGTCAGTTTTTTTTTTTTTTTTTTTTTGGGACAGAGTCTCACTCTGTCTCCCAGGCTGGAGTGCAGTGGCATGATCTCACTCATTGCAACCTCTGCCTCCATGTTCAAGTGATTCTCCCACCTCAGCCTCCCGAGTAGCTAGGACTACAGGCGCATGCTACCAGGCCCAGCTAATTTTTGTATTTTTAGTAGAGACAAGGTTTCGCCACATTAGCCAGGCTGGTCTCAAACTCCTGACCTGAGGTGATCCACCCATCTCATCCTCCCAAAGTGCTGGGATTCTGTTTCTTAAGTTTACTGAAAAGGATTTTCAGATTGCAATTTATTATGGTGGATTTCACAGTTGCTCTTAGAACTAAGGGTTAACACAGCCCATGTTTGAGGCCAGGAACTGAATGATACTATGGCGTTTGACACATGTTTTCATGAATATAATATGGTAAGGCTGGTGGCTGAAGGCTTATGTTTACTTTGTTCAACAAGTATTAATTGACTGCGCACTATGTGCCAGACACATATTATAGTAATACAGGCAGGAGAGAATTGCTGGTGGCTTACAGCAGGTAATAATGGTAGAGGTAGAAGTGGTCACATTCTGGATATGTTTATTTTTGGTTTATTTTTTTTTAACTTGGGGTAAAACTTACATAAAATTAATAATTTTGAAGTGAATAATTCAGCTCTAGTACATTCACAATGTCGTACAACCGTTGTTTCTATCTAGTTCCAAAACACTTTTATCACCCCAAAAGGGAACCCTCTTCCCATTAAGCATTTGGCTCCCCGTTTCTCTCTCCCCCTGACTTCTGGCAACCATCCATGTTGTGGCTGTATAGGTTTACCTATTTTGGATATTTCATATAAATGAAATTGTATAATATGTGACCTTGGGTGTCTGGCTTCATTCACTTAACATAATGTTTTTTAAGTTCATCCATGTTGTAGCATGCATCAGTACTTCATTCCTTTTGTGTTGACTACTATTCCATTGTTTGTATATACCACAAATAATTTACCCATTCATCTGTTGATGAACACTTGGGCTATGCCCGCCTTTTGGTTATTGTGAATAGTACTGGTATGAACATATGTATAAATGTATTTGAGTACTGGTTTTCATTTCTTTGGGGGATATAGTTAAAATTGGAAATGTGTGGGTCGTATGGTAATTCTGTGTTTAACTTTTTGAGGAACTGCTAAACTGCTTTTCATAGCAGCTGCTTCATTTTACATCCCAACAGCAATGTATAAAGCTTCCAATTTCCCCACATACTCACCAATACTTGTTACTTTCCTGTCTTTTTTCTTTCTGTTAATTATTATAGCTATCCTAGTGGAGTATGAAGTTGTACCTCACTGTGATTTTGATTTTCATTTTTCATTTTCATTTCCCATTTTTTGAGACAGGGTTTCACTTTGTCACCCAGGCTAGAACGCAATGGCATGATCTTGGCTCGTGGGAACCTTTACCTCCCAGGCTCAAGTGATCCACCTACCTCAGCCTCCCAAGTACCTGGGACCACAAGTGCATGTCACCATGCCTGGCTAATTTTTGTATTTTTGTTAGAGATGGGGTTTCGCCTTGTTGCCCAGGCTCATCTCAAACTCCTGGGCTCAAGCAATCTGCCCACCTCGGCCCCCCAAAGTGCTGGGATTACAAGTGTGAGCCACCATGCCAGGCGAGCATATTTTCATGTGCTTTTTGGCCATTTGTATATCTTCTTTGGAGAAATGTCTATTCAGGTCCTTTGCCCATTTTTCAATTGTGTTGTCTTTTTGTTTTTGAGTTGTAAGAGTTCTTTACAAATTCTGCATACTAGATCCTTATTAAATATATCATTTGCAAATACTTTCTCCCATTTAGTAAACTGTCTTTTCACTTTCTTGATAATTTCCTTTGATGTACATGAGTGTTTTGTTTTGTTTTTTTGTTTTTTTTTAAAGACAGAGTCTCGCCCTGTCACCCACGCAGGAGTGCAATGGCACGATCTCGGCTCACTGCAACCCCCACCTCCCGGGTTCAAGCGAGTCTCCCACCTCAGCCTCCCAAGTAGCTGGGACTACAGGCACACATCACCATGCCTGACTAATTTTTTGTATTTTTCATAGAGACAGGGTCTCACCATGTTGGCCAGGCTGGTCTCAAATTCCTGACCTCAAGTGATCTTCCTGCCTAGGCTTCCCAAAGTGCTGAGATTACAGGCCTGAGCCGCCACACCCGGCCAATTTGTAAATTTTGATGAAATTCCAGTTTACCTATGTTTTTCTTTTGTTACACATGCTTTTGGTGTCATAGTTAAGAATCTGTTGCCTAATCCAGAGTCATAAAGATTTATCCCTGTGTTTTCTTTTAAAAATTTTTTTAAAGATTTTCTTTCTTTATTGAGACAGGGTCTTACTGTGTTGTCCAGGCTGGTCTTGAACACCTGGGCTCAAGCGATCCTTCTGCCTTGGCCTCCCAAAGTGCTAGAATTACAGGTGTGAGTCACTACACCCGGCCCCTATGATTTCTTCTAAAAGTTTTTAGCTGCTATATTTAAGTTGTTGACCCATTTTGAGTGTATATATGGTATGAGATAGGAGTCCAACTTCATCATTTTGCATGTAGGTATTCAGACGTCCTAGCACTATTTGTTAAAGAGACTATTCTTTACCTATTTAATGGTCTTGGCATTCTTATTGAAAATCAGTTAACCATACGTATATGGGTTTAGTTTGGGGCCCACGATTCTATTTCACTGGTCTATATGTCTGACCTTATGTCAGTACCACACTGTTTTGAATACTGTAGTAAATTTTGAAATTGGAAAATATGAGTCCTTCCACATTGTTCTTCTTTTTTAGTATTGTTTTGGCTCTTCAGGACCTTTTGCAATTCCATATAAATTTGAGGATCAGCTTTTCAGTATCTGCAAAAATGCAATTAGAACTTTGACAGAAGGGCTGGGCATGGTGGCTTAGGCCTGTAATTCCAGTGCTTTGGGAGGCTAAAATGGGAGGATCACTTGAGCCCAGGAGTTGGAGACCAGCCTGGGCAACATAGCGAGACCCCCATCTCTATAAAACATTAAAAAATTAGCAGGGTATGGTGGTGCACACCTGTAGTCCCAGCTACATGGGAGGCTGCATTGGGAGGATCACATGAGTCCAGGAGTTGGAGGCTATGGTGAACTATGATTGAACCACTGCTAGATTGCACTCCAGCCTGGGTGATAAAGCGAGACCCCACTCCCCACCTGCCGCCAAAAAAAAAAAAAAAAAAAAAAACTTAAATAGGGATTACATTGACTATAGATCATTTTAGATAATAGTGCCATTTTAACATATTAAGTTTTAATGTATTAAGTCTTCTAATCCATAAACATGGGATATCTTTTCATTAATTAGGTCTTTTTTTTTTTTTTTTTTTTTTGAGATGGAGTCTCTCTTGCTCCGTTGCCAGGCTGGAGTGCCGGGGTGCAATCTCAGCTCACTGCAACCTCTGCCTCCCGGGTTCAAGCAATTCTCTTGCTTCAGCCTCCCAAGTAGCTGGGACTACAGGCACGCGCCACCACGCCCAGCTAATTTTTGTATTTTTAGTGGAGACAGGGTTTCACCATGTTGGCCAGGATGGTTTTGATCTCTTGACCTTGTGATCCGCCCACCTCAGCTTCCCAAAGTGCTGGGATTATAGGCATGAACCACTGTGCCTGGCCTTAATTAGGTCTTTAATTTCTTTCAGTAATGTTTTATAGTTTTCAATGGACAAACCTTTCACTTCCTTAGTTAAGTTTATTCCTAGGTATGGGTATTTTATTCTTTAGGATGCTACTGAAAGTGGAATTATTTTTCTTACTTTCATTTTAGGGTTTTTTTTTTATTGCTGGTATGTAGAAACACAGCTGATTTGTGAGTGTTGATCTTACACCCTGCAACTTTGCTGAATTCATTTATTAATTCTAATATGTTTTCTTCATGGATTATTTGGGATTTTCTATCTTTAGGATCACTTCGTCTGTGAATGGGGGTATAGTAGCCCCGCTCATCAGCAGAGGATATGTTCCACGACCCCCATTGGTGCCTGAAACTGTGGATAGTAGTCAACGCTATATATACTGTTTTTTTCCTGTACATATGTATCTATGATAAAGTTTAATTTATAAATTAGGCACAGTAAAAAAAAATATCACTTTATCTGTTATTTCCTTTAGCCATTAAGATCTGTAGTCTTTTTTGTCTGCTTACTGATGAAATTCTTTTTTACTTTGACACTTAGAAGTTCAGAATTCTGTTATTCAATGGGGAGTAAATATGAAAGTCATCATGTAGTCAGAACTGGATCAAGTGTTCCCCAAAATGTTTTCTTTTTAATTTTTTTTTAGACAGAGTCTCACTTCTTCACCCAGGCTGTAGTGCAGTGGCGCAATCTCGGCTCACTGCAACCTCTGCCTCCCAGGTTCAAGCGATTCTCATGCCTCAGCCTCCCAAGTAGCTTGGACTACAGGTGCGTGCCACTACACCTGGCTAATTTTTGTATTTTTAGTAGAGACAAGGTTTCATCCTGTTGGCCAGGCTGGTCTCAAACTCATGATCTCAAGTGATCAGCCTGCCTCGACCTTCCAAAGTGCTGCTGGGATTACAGGCATGAGCCACCATGCTTGGCCCCAAAATATTTTTTTTCCATAAAAAAATCTAGAGAACATATCATAAAGGTGGAGAGTAATGACCAAAAAAAGTCGGTCAATAAAAATGACTTATTTTGTTTTCTTTAGTCACCTCATCCCAGTGAAATCTGAAGGTGCCATGGAGCAGAGAAAAGGAAAGCCTCATAGCTTCTTTAGCCTCTGCATCTGGCTTGATAACATTCCATCTCTCCTTTTTAAACACCTTGGACATCGTAAAATTGAATAAATGTGGGTTAAGTCATACTTGGTTTCATTGCTCCTATTTAAAATCTCTACCCTTCCCCGTCCTACCTTCACCTCTAGCTTCTGAGACTCTATAGGTGATTTTTTCTTCAGTTTGTTGTGTATAAAGAACTCTTATCAGTAATTTTGTACATTTCTACTTCCTTATAGGGTCCAAGTTAGAGAAGGAAGTGCAGAAAGATTTTTTTAAAGTTGACTTTTTTTTTTTTTTTACTTCTTTTGGTTCTTTTTTTTTTTTTTTTGCTGTCAACAGCTTTTTAAAAATTAGACTTTAAAGGTTTTTAAAGACTTTAAAGGTCAAGTCCCTGCTGTAGAGACAGACACCACTGTTATCTCTTACCTAGATTATACCAACAGCCTTCTAACTGGTCTTCCTGTTTTTGCCTTACTCTCTTAAAATTTAATCTCTACATAGCAGCTTTACTCAAAACCCTGCAGTGGCTCCCCATTTGATTCACAATAGAAGCCAGTTTTCTTATGGTGGCCTCCCAGGCTCTACTTGATCTGGCCCCCCATTACCTCCCTAACCTCTTCTACTTGCTCTCTCTGCTATGGCCACAGCTAGCCTCCTTGCCAGTCATACTTGGTGATCAGAAACTTTGCTCACTGATTCGCCTGCCTAGTATATGCTATTCCCACAGATAATCTGCTTGGCAAGTATACTCACCTCACCTCCATTCCGTCTTGCCTCAAATCTCAACTTCTCAATAAAGCCTACACTATCTTCTATTTAATACTGTAACCTGCCCCATTTACACTCTGAAACTCATGACCCTATTTTTATATCTGTTTTAATTAAGTTAGACTTGTTGATACTGTGGCAATGACTTAATCCCAAAATTGCAATGACTTAACACATAACAAAATCTTGTATCTTGGCCAGGAGTGGTGGCTCATGCCTCTCATCTCAGTACTGTGGGAGGCCAAGGCGGGTGAATTGCTTGAGCCCGGGAATTTAAGACCAGTCATGGGCAACATGGCGAGACCCTGTCTCTGCAAAATATTTTTTAAAAAATCAGCTGGATGTGGTGGCACACCTCTAGTCCCAGCTACTCTGGAGGCTGAGGTAGGAGGGTCGCTTGAGTCTGAGAGGTGGAGGTTGCAGTGAGCCGAGATCATGCCACTGCACTCCAGCCTGGGCAACAGAGCGAGACCCTATCTCAAAAAAAAAAAAATCTTGTGTTACAAATCCATTATGCGTTAGCAAACAGCTTTGTCCACTTTGACCCTCAAGGACCTAGGCTGATGGAAGCTTGCCCGTCTCGTGATGCATCTCAACATGTAGTTTCCCAGGGTCACATCTATAGGAAAGAGAGAGTTCAAAGGAAGATTGAAAGTGGCATAAGTCACTTTTTTCCCCAGCTCACTGGCCAAAATTAGTTGCATGACCCTAATGTAAGTGAATCCAAAATGTAGGAGGAGCACAAGGAATATTAATGAGCATTACTATTTCTTCAACACATGTTCTCTTTTTATTTTCTCCATGTTACCTATCAGGTTTTATTATATGATTTATATATTTTATATAACTTATACATATTTACATATCATATCATTTGCATGCTTTTGTGTTTACTGTTTAATGCCTCCTCCAGCAAGAATAGGAACTTATACTCCCAGAAAAGAATATAATTATTCTCCCAAGGAATATTTAGAATATAAAATTAGTAAAACTTGATTATTTGTTGAATACAACGGCTAAGGAAAGAATTAAGGATAATTCATGTTTCTCATTTGGATTACTTGGTTTTTGGTGTTTCCAAATGAAATAGGGAATATCAGAGGAGGAACAAGTGTGGGTGATATGATGATGAGTTTGGTTTGAGGTATAGTGGGTTTACTGCCATAGGGACCTCAAGGTGGAAATATGTGCAGAGTTGGATATATGGTTCTTAAACCCGGGGAAATGGGTAGGTCTTCAGCATGCCTAGTCTAGAAGTAGTTAAAAAAATAAGAAAGGGGGCCAGGTGCATTGGCTCACTGCACCTGTAATCTTAGCACTTTGCGAGGCCAAGGTGTGTGGATCGCTTGAACTCAGGAGTTTGAGATACCCATCTGTAGTCCTAGCTGCTCGGGAGGCTGAGGCAGGAGGATTGCTTGAGCCTGGGAGGTTGAGACTGCAGTGAGCCATGATTATGCTGCCGCACATCAGCCTTGGTGACAGAGTAAGACCCTGTCTCAAAAAAAAGGAAAAGGTAAGACTGTCAGTAACTACTAAGGACAGAATCCTTCTGTATACTAATGTTTAAAGAACAAAAAGAGGAAGATACGCTCTTGTGTGGGAAATGCAGCAAAAAATAAATGGTGAAAGGTGAACCAGGAGAGTATGAAGCTATGACTATCGAGGGTATTTAGAGTTTCAAGGAGAAAGTGAGGGACCATGTTAAATGTAGTAGATATGTAAAAAAAACAACAACAACCAAAAAAAAAAACAACTCTGCCTGTAGTTCCAGCTACTCAGGAGGCTAAGGCAGGAGGATCACTTGGGCCCAGGAGTTCAAGGTGTTAGTATGCTATTATCACACCTGGGAATAGCCTCAGTACTTCAGCCTGAGCAACATAGTGAGACCCTGTCTTTCTAAAAAAACAGAACAAAACAAACCACCAAAAACCAACAATTTCGTACTAAATATTTTCTACTCTTCTTACAAGCTTACTTAAGTCCCTTGCTCCTTTATTTCAACCCAACTTCCCTAACCACATTGGCTTCAATTTCATTGAGAAATTTGAAGTCATCAGGCATAAACAGCCCCAAATGTGCCCTCCCTTCTTCCCTTTACAAACTTACCACCATGCCCATCCATCCTTTCCTCTTTCCCTCCAATCTCAGGACATTCACAGCCAACTTTTCCACTAGTGCCATTGATACCAAGAATTGTCTGCACTTTCTGTTTATGCTTTTTCCCTTTTATGATTTGTGCTCCTAGTATTCCACGGAAATTTTTCTCAGTAAGGGGACCATTTGAAATTTTAGTCAATGGGGTGGAAGTGAAAAACTAAGTACAAAGTGTTGAATACTGAATGCAAGGTAGGGGAATAGCAATATAAATTGGAGATAGCAGTCACTGATGAAGTGAGAGGGAGATAATGCCAATCCTCCTCCCCAGACAACTGAAGACATTTACATGGACCAGATTCAGGTACTATTCCAGAGGCCCTTTCATTTTGGTGGCCATATTAAAAGTATGTCTCTTACCTGTCCTCCTCCTCCTATACCATGCCAGTGATTGAATCTTCATTGTAGAAGCAGAAGTGAGCCAGTTCCCACAATAAAGAATTTAGACACATGAGATTTCATTCATTTGTTCATTTGTGGAAAAGTATTTCTTGAATGTCTGCCATGTGCCATACTCAGGGTTAGGTGCTGGAAATACAATGGGGAGTAAAAACAAATTTCTTGTTTTAGTGGACTTTATAGAATAGTGATTTGATTTGTCTTTTATTTGTTTGTTTATATCTAACTTAAATTTGTTTAACTAATTTTACTTTTTTTCCCCTTTAGTACCCTCTTATATATGGACTGATTCTTATTCCCTGCTGGTGTTCTCTAGTTTGCCTAAGTAGAATTTACATGGGAATGCACTCTATTCTGGTAAGGAAAATGTTGTCTTCTTAATACTTTATTTTTTATGACATTGACAGGAAATTTTATAATTTTTAATCATTTGCAAACTTACCTGAAGCCTAAATGAGAAAATATTGTAAGTCGTCTAACTTTGTTTTGCGAAAATATCAACATGATGGTTTATGAAATATTAATGTAGTAGTCACATATTTCATAGAAACAGTTTCCAGCAATCACAATAGCCAGGTATTATAATCAAGATAACATTTCTTCCTCCTTCCAGTCTCCCTTTTATTTTCCTTTGCAGTCTTTTCTGTGTCTCTCTTATCACTGAGTCAAAACCAGCAATGTGGCTACAGAAACCAAGGAGAGCTCCTAAGTATTGTTGAAGAACTAGTGACTAGAAACTATGTGAACTTAAACTTTCCAGGGGCCATTTGTGTTTACATATTAAACTCTACTTTTCTTTTCTTTCCCATCAGTATGTTAGGACTCACAGTGGACATTGTGTTTTGAGAATGCAATTCGGTTCCCAAAGCAGCAGCACAGGGACCCTGTACTATTTGCAGCCACACCCATTCACTTTCCCTCCTCGCTATCCCTATTGACACCCCCTTAGCTCTGGCCTGCAACATATCTTGACCAGATTACTGTGATAGCATCTTAATTAGTAGCCAACTTCCAGTTTGACACTGCTCCACTAGCATTCAGCTGTTTCGTAGACTTTCCAAAACACAAATACGATGCTATACTGAATTATTAGGTTTCCTCCAATGCAAAGGGTTTCTTACCTCCATAACTTTACAAATGCTGTAACATTTACTTGGAATGCCCCTTTCACTTTCTTTACCTTAACTATCCCATTCATTCTTCAAGACTCACTATAGATATTCTTAACCCCTCAAAGCCTTATTACCTTCCCCATCTTCTCTTTCTCAAGACTTGTGAGGTGACCCTTCCCCACTTATCCTAAATTGCAATTGCTTTTTTCCTTATCTGTCAAGTATACTAGACTCCAAGTTCCTTGAGAACAGCAACTGTGTGTTTTAACTCTACCTTTAGTATCCAACATGGTGTCTCATGAGGCATCTATGAATGAATTATGTATTATCATGGAGATAAAGGATCACAAAAAAAGGTGGAAGAATTCATGGAATTCTAGTTTCTAATGGGTCATGTCAGTTTTTTTCTTGTCCTTAACATGTTACCATTTTTAGAATTTTTTTTCTCATATTATTTCATTCTCTTATTTCTTAGTTATAGAAATGTTGGTTTCTATCTCAAATTTCTTGCTTCCAGCACCTGCTCCTTCACAGATAAATTTCCAGAAGTCCCAAACACTATTTTATTTTGTTGGGAGGCAGTGTGTGCTGTAATTTTGGGGTTGGTCATTGTTTCTAGGTTTTTTTAAATTTTAATTTTAGATTCAAGGGGTACATAAGCAGATTTGTTTGCAAAGGTATATTGTGTGATGCCAAGATTTGGACGTCTATTGATCCTGTGACCCAGATGGTGAACATAGTACCCAACAGGAAGTTTTGCAGCCCTTTCCTCCCCCCGCTCTCCCTCTCTCCTTTTGAAGTCCCTACCAAACACTTTTTTTTCTTTTTGAGACAGAGTCTTGCTCTGTTGTCCAAGCTGGAGGGCAGTGGCACAATCTCGGCTCACTGCAGCTTCTGCCTCCCAGGTTCAAGCAATTCTTGTGCCTCAACCTCCTGAGTAGCTGGGATTACAGACATGTACCATCACACCCGGCTAATTTTTGTATTTTTAGTAGAGACAGGGTTTCACCATGTTGGCCAGGCTGGTCTCAGACTCCTGACCTCAGGTAATCCACCTGCCTTGGCCTCCCAAAGTGCTGGGATTACAGATGTGAGCCACTGCGCCCAGCCCTAAACACTATTTTAATAAACAAATTATTTGTGTTTGACTTTTTATAATTATTTGTATTTAATATGAATTGTGAATTTACATACACTTCTTTCTGACTAATCTCTCCTAATTTTGTAATCAGATTAAGTATCATATTTTTATGCAAAATCAAATACTTGTTACAAGAAAATGTTTTCTATCTTCTGTGTCTTTTTAGAGTTATTCTGTTCCACCCCTAAAAGTTAGCATCACTACTTCTGAAAAAACTACCAAATGGTTATGCATCTTTAGTGATAAAAAGTGAATTCCTGGTATTTCTTGGAGAAAAAGATATTAGATAATATCCCTTGACTCATTATCATCATACAAGGAAGAAAAAGAATCTATGTGATCACATTGAATATATAATCTCAAAGATACTGGTTTTGTTTGCTTGCTTGTTTGTTTTTGAGATGGAGTCTTGCTCTGTCACCCAGGCTGAAGTGCAGAGGCGTGATCTCAGCTCACTGCAACTTCTGCCTCCCAGGTTCAAGGGATTCTTCCAAATAGCTGAGATTACAGGTGCATGCCACCATGCCCTGATAATTTTTGTATTTTTAGTAGAAACAGGGTTTCATCATGTTGGCCAGGCTGGTCTCGAACTCCTGACCTCAAGTGATCCACCCACCTCGGCCTCCCAAAGTCCTGGGATTACAGGTGTGAGCCACCATGCCTGGCTGATACTGTTCTTTTTTAAAAATGAAATGTTTAGTTGGGTTAGTCAAATATCCAGGATGGACAACATCTGTTCTTTTTTGTTTGTTTGCCTTTTTAGAGACAAGGTCTTGCTCTGTCACCCAGGCTGGAGTGTGATGGTGCAAACATAGCTCACTGCAATCTCAAACTCCTGGGCCCAAGTGATCCTCCCACCTTACCCTCCCGGGTGTCTAGGACTACAAACATGTACTATAATGCCCAGCTAATTTTTAAATTTTTTGTAGAGATAGGGTCTAGCTATGCTGCCCAGGCTGATATCAAACTCCTGGTTCAAGTGATCGTTCCACCTCAACCTCTCAAGGTGCTGGGATTACAGATGTGAGCCACTATGTCCAGCCTAACACTAAGAGTTTTAACAATGGTTATTGTTAGGTTAAAAACTGTTTGTTATTGTTTATCTATAATTTTTACTTTTTGTGTAGTGAGCATGTATTAAATGTGTATTTTAATGAAAGAAGATAGATACTTCAAAAGTCATCCCTAATCATAGCTTTTATAATCAAAAACAATGCATTATAACAATACATTTTGTTGTCAGAAACTGTTGTCATTGTCATATTTAAACTGGATCCAGGGCACCTGAAATATATTATAGTTAAAATAAAAACAAAAGGCTGGGCGTGGTGGCTCACGCCTGTAATCCCAGCACTTTGGGAGGCAGAGGCGGGCGGATCATGAGGTCAGAAGATCGAGACCATCCTGGCTAACACGGTGAAACCCCGTCTCTACTAAAAATACAAAAAATTAGCCAGGCGTGGTGGCGGGCGCCTGTAGTCCCAGCTACTGGGGAGGCTGAGGCAGGAGAATGGTGTGAACCCGGGAGGCGGAGCTTGCAGTGAGCAGAGATCGCGCCACTGCACTCCAGCCTGGGCGACAGAGCGAGACTCCCTCTCAAAAAAAATAAAATAAAATAAAATAAATAAAAACAAAAAAGCCATTATGAGATGGGAGACCTGAATTTCAGTCTCAGCAAATCACTAGCCTCTCTAGGTTTGATCAGTATAAATGAAAAAAATTTTCAAATTTAATACCTAATAAATCTTCATTAAATGTATGGTATTTAATATCATCTACCATAAATTGACGATAACCTGGAGTATTCCATTTAGATGTGTAATTAACAAATTTTGGGGTATAAGAGTTATTTATAATAATAAATAGCTAAAATTATTTGCTAAATTTCCTTTTAGAAAATTTGCTACTTTGAGCTCTTTGTTACCTTTAACATTAATGTTCTTTATTGCATACTTTGTGCTCTAACACTTAAAACCACTTAGTTATACATTTTAATGTTATCCATTATATTGATATCAAAATGATAGCCAACATGGTTATGTCGTAAATTTGAATGTTTCTTTTTCTGATTCTATTGGATAGGAGTTCAATATACCCTATCTAGGGAAATATAAACAATTTAAAACTCAAACAGAAAAGGAAGCAGATTTGTCTAGTTTCGTAGCAATCTAAGTTTTGTTTTGTTTTTTTTTCCTGGTCAGACAAGGTGTGGAACAATCTAAGTTTAATACTCGTGGAGCTATACACAAAAAGTAGAGGACAACAAATAATGGATTTTTTATGTCAATTGATACATGAGAAGTTATTATTTTAAAGAATTCTTAATGTTAAAGAGATCAAACATAACAATTTAAAGACATTTAATGAATTTTTTCTTTTTTTTTTTTCTTTTCTTTTCTGAGACAGGGTCTCCTTCTGTTACCCAGGCTGGAGTGCAGTGGCGTAATCTCTGCTCACTGCAACCTTTGCCTCCTGGACTCAAGCGATCTTCCCACTTCAGCCTCCCAAGTAGTTGGGACCACCATGCCCTGCTGATTTTTCTATTTTTTCTTTTTGGAAGAGACAGGGTTTGGCCATGTTGCCCAGGCTGCTTTCGAACTCCTGAGCTCAAGCGATCCACTCGCCCTGACCTCTCAATGTGTTGGGATTACAGGCATGAGCCACTGTGCCTGGCCAGTTTTTTCACTTTTTAAGGTACTATAAAAGAAACATTTTACAGGATTGAACATATGCTTATATCTATTATGAAAAAATACATAATTTAAAAAAATACCTGGCTGGGCACAGCAGCCCACGCCTATAATCCCAACAATTTGCAAGGCCAAGGTGGGAGGAGTTCAAGACCAACCTGGGCAATGTAGGGAGACTTCGTCTCTATAAAAAATTAAAAAATAAGTTGGTCATGGTGGCTTGTACCTGTAATCCCAGCTACTCACGAGGTCAAGGTGGGAGGATTGCTTGAGCCAGGAAGATTGAGGCTGCAATAAGCTGTGATTTTGCCACTGTACTCCAGCCTGGGCAACAGAGCAAGATCCTATCTAAAAATAAAAATAAAAATAATTAATAAAAAGCTAACTTCAGAGCTGTTAACCCTTCATTTCACTTAACCTTAGAGTAAATATGTATGGCTTTATATAAATAGCTTATCAGTTGTCATTTGTCTGAAACATCTGACTTGATATAAATTCTATGTGAAAAGTACAAAGTTTAGAATATATACACTTTAGCATATAACATGAAATTCTAAATCACTCATGAAATTTAAGATAAAAAGTAAAGCAACAGCTTTTATTTTTGTAGCCAAAATCCTATGGGTATTTACCAAGACTTGTGCCTTTAATTACAAGGTAGGGAAGTAAGGGTAAGATAGCAAACAAAGGGAATGTAACCTCATAAGGTGAAGTTATTTTGGCAATTTGGGCTCTGAAATATGAAGAATTGGCCAGGTGCAGTGGCTTACGCCTGTAATCCCAACACTTCGGGAGGCCGAGGCGGGTGGATCACTTGAGCCCAGGATATCTGGATCAACCTGGGCAACATGGCAAAACCCTGTCTTTATAAAAAAAAATACAAGAAGTTAGCCAGGTGTGGTGGTGTGTGCCTGTGGTCCCAGCTACTTGGGAGGTGGGAGGATTGCTTGAGCCCAGGAAGTCGAGGCTGTGGTGAGCCATGATCTCCCCTCCAGCCTAGGCCATGGCCATACAGTGAGATCCTCTCTCAAAAAAAGAAATATGAAGAATAGAGGTTTGACAGTCACATCATTTGAGATCTCCTTATCCAAATGCATGGTCAGAGTTTGAGTCACTTGTGGAATCTTTGAGTAACTGAAATAAAATCCAGTTGATCAGAATTCTTTGGTAATTTTTAGTATGTATCAGTGAGTTTTCTCGGAAGACATCCTGTTCAAAAAAAAAGTGTTGAGGCTGGATGTGGTGGATAATGCCTATAATTCCAACACTTTGGGAAGCTGAGGTGGGTGAATCACTTGAGCCCAGGAGTTCAAGACCAGCCTGAGCAACATAGGGAAAGCCTGTCTCTACAAAAAAATACAAAATATTAGCCAGGCCTGGTGGCTTGCGCCTGTAGTCCCAGCTACTTGGGAAGCTGAGGTGGGAGGATCAATTGAGCCCAGGGGGTTGAGGCTTCAGTGAGCTATGACCACGCCACTACACTACAGGCTGAATGACACGGCAAGACCTGTCTCCAAAAAAAAAAAAGGAAGTTGAACATTTAGTTTCTCTTCACTCCCAATATTTAATTTCTGATTCTCAAAATGTTAATTTTTATAACAACTGTGTCAAGTACCTTCAATGTAAGAGGTTAAATAAGCAGCTGTGTGACCTTACTCCAGTTTTCATTATTTAAAAACTGGTTGATTAAGGTAACCATAAATTTCCATCAAATTTGCACACTTTTGAAAGGGAAAAAGGTGCTTTTAATACCTGTCCTGGGGACAAGAGCAAAATGGGACTTTTCGAGGCAAGCTGTTTCATATTGGTTGTTATGGTTAAATGTGACAATAATTGTAAAGTATTGAAGCAGTGTTTTTAGTACGGAAAGTTATTATTCTCCAAAAATGTCTTAGGCCTGGTTCAATAAATTATATATCATCTGCTTCTCTTATAGAGCTCTTGTCAGGCAGGATTATGTAGTCAATGTGATGAGTCTAAAGAATACCTTAACTCTTTTTCTTTCTTCCTTTCTTCTTTTTTTTTCTTTCTCTTTTTGTTTTTTATTTTTATTTTTAAAGAATTACCTTAACTGTCTTAATTTAACTAACCAAACATTTATTTCCTGCTTACTTATTTTTCATGCACTGAAAATATATGTATAAATAAGGTAAAGTCTTTGCCTTTGAGTAGTCATTGTCTAAATATGCAGTATGTAATAAAACAGTGTAATGCAATTGTTTTCAACCAGGGTGTACATCAGAATCACTGGGGAGATTTTTAAAAAATACTGATGCCCTACCCCCACTTCAGTTCAATCATAATCTCTGAATATTGTCCCAGGCATCAGTATTTTTATCAAGTTCTCCACTTGATTTTAATCTACAGCAAGGGTTATGAACTTTTGGTTTCCTGGAGAAACAGACAAGCAAAGAATGGAAAACAGTCATAGCAGGTATGTGGAGGATGCAGTGGAATCAAAGAAGAGAAAATTTCTTATTACAGGGTAGGAGAAGAAAGTTTATGGAGGAGGTAGATGCCTGAGGAGAATCTCAAAGAATATATAATAGTTTGCCTGAAATATAGGTAGGAAAGATAATTCTAAGACAAGAAGAAATAGTCTATAAATTCATTTTGGGATCTGGCATTAAATGAAACTTAATGATAGACAAAACTCAGTTATGAAATGCTTTATATGTCCTTCTAAGAGTTGGAATGCACACATGATATTTATTGCCTTAGTTGACACTTTCCTAAACATTTTGTTAATTGATCACCTCTCAGCCTTTTGGCTAAGATCGAGCGTAAACATTTTGTTAATTGATTGTGTAATATCTTTCCTTGACCTGTTATAAAAGGAATCACTTATTTAAATAAAGAGAATACAATTATAATTTTAAGCAACTTTATTTACTTACTATTGTACAATAGGAGACTATCAGCCAAACTATGTTTTATATCTAAATAAAATTTTTAAAATGTTTTTCATGGCTGGGCATGGTGGCTTACACCTGTAACCCCAGCACTTTGGGAGGCCAAGGTGGACAGATTACCTGAGGTCAGGAGTTCGAGACCAGCCTGCCCAACATGGTGAAACCCTGTCTGTACTAAAAATACAAAAATTAGCTGAGTGTGGTTGGTGGCGCACACCTGTAACCCCAGCTACTTGGGAGGCTGAGACAGGAGAATTGCTTGAAGCCAGGAGGTAGAGGCTGCAGTGAGCTTAGATGGTGCCACTGTACTCCATCCCGGGGAACAGAGTGACACTCAGTCTCATATAAATAAATAAATAAAATATTTTCTTATATCTATCATGTAGTACATCATTTAAAGAGAGGAAAGATATTCATTTACAAGTAATTTGGTAGATTCTGCTAGACAAAACAAATTCATGTGAAGGATTTGTTTATTCATTCATTCATCCATCCAAAAAATATTTGAGGTTGAACAAAACATAGTCTATTTCCCTACCATTTTATAGTTGAATGTTCAACTGTATTCTTTTTCATAATTATCTGTATCTTCTTCTCCAGCTATTCTTATATTCCAAAGTGTTCCGATTTGGAGTTATATCTCTTTTAGAACAATGGCTTCAAGCACTGCAACTGCGGACCCTGTCATTTCATGACACAATTTTTATTGCATAGAAAAGAAATAGCCCAGCCGGTCACAGTGGCTCACAGCTGTAATCCCAACACTGTGGGAGGCTGAGGCAGGTGGATTGCTTGAGCTCAGAAGTTGGAAACCAGCCTTGGCAACATGACAAAACCTTGTCTACAAAAAATACAAAACTTAGCCTAGCTGGGCATGGTGATGCACGCTTGTAGTCCCAGTTACTCAGGAGGCTGAAGTGGGGAGGACAACTTGAGGTGGAGGTTGCAGTGAGCTGAGATTGTGCCACCAAAGTCCAGCCTGGGCGACAAACAAAACAAAACAAAAAACAGAGAAGCATTCAAGTTCAACCGTAATCAATTAACTAATCCAAAACCCAAAAACAGCTTAAATGACCATAAGTGGGAAAACCAATAAATTGTATAATGATGCAGCAGAATATTACATGATTGTGAAAGTGAATGACCGATAACTACATATAATATAATGAATGAATCTTAATGTTAAGTGTAAAAAGCAGTTCAAAAGAGACTGCTGTAACATTTTAGCAAAGCTCAGAAAGAAGCAAAACTAGATAATTTTTTTTTTTTTTTTTGAGACAGAGTCTTGCTCTGTCACCAAGGCTAGAGTGCAGTGGCGTAATTTCAGCTCACTGCAACCTCCACCTCCGGGGTTCTAAGCGATTCTCCTGCCTCAGCTTCCAGAGCAGCTGGGATTACAGGCATGTGCCACCACACCCGGCTAATTTTGTATTTTTAATAGAGATAGGGTTTCACCATGTTGGCCAGGCCGGTCTCGAACTCCTGACCTCAGGTGATCCTCCCACCTTGGCCTCCCAAAGTGCTGGGATTACAGGCATGAGCCACCACCCCCGGGCCAAACTAGATAATATTTTGCTTGAAGATATGTGGTAAAACGATTTGAAAAAATAGGTATTTATGGCCAGGCCCGGTGGCTGATACCTGTAATCCTAGCTCTTTGGGAGGCCAAGGTAGGTGGATCACTTGAGCCCAGGAGTTCAAGACCAGTCTGGGCAACCTGGTGAAACCTGGTATCTACAAACAAAACAAAACAAACAAACAAAAAATCCCAGGTATTTATGAAGCCAAAATTCATGCTTGCAAATTGCCTCCAGGGAGGAATGCAGAGTGATAGGTTGAGAAACAGCACAACAGTAGATTTGACAATTCTTGTAATATTATAGTTCTTTTGTTGGGAAGTGATTTCATAGATATGAATTTTATAGTTTCATATATACTGTACATGTATTTTGCTATGTATCAAATCCTATATAATAAAAAATTTTAAGACAGAAACATCAAGCAACTAGTCTGTTGCTTAACTGTATTGAATATTGTTAAGAAATGACCTGGCCAGATGCAGTGGCTCACGCCTGTAATCCCAGCACTTTGGGAGACTGAGGCGGGAGGATCACGAGGTCAGGAGATAGAGACCATCCTGGCTAACACGGTGAAACCCCGTCTCTACTAAAAATACAAAAAATTAGTCGGGCATGGTGGCGGGCGCCTGTAGTCCCAGCTACTCGGGAGGCCGAGGCAGGAGAATGGCGTGAACCTGGGAGGCGGAGGTTGCAGAGAGCTGAGATCACGCCACTGCATTCCAGCCTGGGCAACAGAGCGAGACTCCATCTCAAAAAAAAAAAAAAGAAAAAAAAAAGAAATGACGGTTGTTTTTGAAGACCTCTAGTATCCATGAAAAAAGTGGTTTCAGTGTAGTGGTGAGTTTAGAGAAAAATCAGAGGTGAGGAAGTGGAGACAGTGAATATAAACATTGATAAGTTTTTCAGTAATAGTAGATCATAGGGTTTTGTTTTGTTGTAAGGTAGAAATACGGAACATTTTTGTATGTTGTCAGGAATGATTCAGAAAGTTATTTAATAGCTTTGTTTCCTCAAGTAAACCATCTTCTATCAAGTCTACACAATTGCTCCTACCTAAAACTAGGAACCGTCTCTGATTCCTCTCTTTCTTCTTGCTGTTTCTCACATTCAATCCATCATCAAGTTACAGTTGTCAATTCTTTTAAAATTTTTTTTTTTTTTTTTTTTTTTTTTTTGAGACAGAGTCTTGCTCTGTCACCCAGGCTGGAGTGCAATGGCGCCATCTCGGTTCACTGCAACCTCGGCCTCCCGGGTTCAGGCAGTTCTCCTGCCTCAGCCTCCTGAGTAGCTGGGATTACAAACGCGTACCACCATGCCCGGCTAATTTTTGTATGTATGTATGTACTTATTTATTTATTTATTTTTGAGTTGGAGTTTCACTCTTGTTGCCCAGGCTGGAGTGCAATGGTGCGATCTTGACTCACCCCAAACTCTGCCTCCCGGGTTCAAGCGATTCTCCTGTCTCAGCCTCCCAAGTAGTTGGGATTATCGGTGTGTGCCACCACACACAGCTAATTTTCTTTTGTATTTCTAGTAGAGACAGGGTTTCACCATGTTGGCCAGGCTGGTCTTGAACTCTTGACCTCAGGTGATCCACCCGCCTCGGCCTCTGAAAGTGCTGGGATTACAGGTGTGAGCCACTGCACCTGACCTCACTTTTTATTCTTAAGAGACGAAGTCTCCCTGTGTTGCCCAGCCTGGTCTCCAACTCCTGGGCTCAAGCAGTTTCGACAAAGTGTTGGGATTATAGGCATGAGCCACTGCACCCAGCTCCTATCACTTTTGAAATAAAATCTACTCTCTTACCTAGCCTACAAAAGCCTTTGCACTTGATATTCCCTCTACCTGGTACACATTTCCTCTGCCTCTAAATATAGGCTCCCTTTAGAATCAGATCTGTGCTCAACTGTCACCACCCTCAGACAGGCTTCCTTAATCAATCAGTACTCTAATCGGGTCCTTCATCATACTATTCTGTTGTCCTGTTTTAGTTTCTTCATAAGATTCATAACAATCTGAAATTGTAATATTTATCTGCTTTCTTATGTGGTTATCAACAGTCTTGCTCTGTTACTCGGGCTGGAGTGCAATGGCATGATCTTGGCTCACTGCAACCTCCACTTCCTGGGTTCAAGCGATTCTCATGCCTCCATCCCCAAGTAGCTGGGATCACAGGCTGGAGCCACCATACCTGGCTAATTTTTGCATTTTTAGTAGAGACAGGGATTCACTATGTTACCCAGGCTGGTCTTGAACTCCTGGCCTCAAGTGAACCACCCACCTCAGCCTCCCAAAGGGATGGGATTACAGACATGAGCTACCTTGCCCAGCCACATTCTTGTCATTTTTTAAAGCAATGTATCCTCAACCCCTAAAATAGGGGTTGGCACTCATAAATATTTGTTCAATGAATGAATGAATGAGAAAAGAAAATTACCTAGGATGTATATCCTGTGTGGTCATGGAGATAATTACATACATAAACATATGAAAATGAAAACCATTTCTTTGAATAATAAGTGTACTTTTCCCCAGAAATCAAAACTACACAATTTTAGCATAATTTGTTGTTCAGAATTTGAATGTAAATTTGTGGATATTATATATGTAGTTAATTTATAAAAGGGTAGAATTATGAAAATATAAATCCTTTTATTATTAATACAGCTTTTAGTGCCTCTTATATGGTCAGTTAATAAAGTTTACTTTGAGAATTTGACAACTTTAAAAAATTTATGTATATTCAACATTTGAAATGTCAAATATAAATTATTTTTTAAATGCCAAAAATATTCAGTATTATACTAAACAACGATACTTTTATCTTTTCCTAGGATATTATTGCTGGATTCCTATATACCATTTTAATCTTAGCTGTCTTCTATCCATTTGTGGACCTGATTGACAACTTCAACCAAACTCACAAATATGCTCCATTCATCATCATCGGGCTTCATTTAGCTTTGGGGATCTTTTCTTTCACTCTTGACACCTGGAGCACATCCCGAGGAGACACAGCCGAGATACTAGGAAGTGGTGCTGGAATTGCATGTGGATCTCATGTTACTTATAACATGGGTCTAGTATTAGATCCTTCTCTAGATACATTACCTTTAGCTGGGCCCCCCATTACTGTGACTCTGTTTGGAAAAGCCATATTGCGGATCCTCATAGGGATGGTATTTGTACTAATAATCAGAGATGTAATGAAAAAGATCACCATTCCTTTAGCCTGCAAAATCTTCAATATACCGTGTGATGATATTCGAAAAGCAAGACAGCACATGGAAGTTGAACTTCCTTATCGGTATATTACCTATGGAATGGTTGGTTTCTCCATCACATTTTTTGTTCCTTACATATTTTTCTTTATTGGTATCTCTTGATGGAGAAGTATTGTTTATGATAAGAAAGGAGGGTATCAGTTACTGATACCCAAAAATATATTCCAGGTAAAGCCAGGTCAGAATTAGGCTTTTGCAGGAATTTAACTTAAATAATTATTTAAGTAAATTCATAAGAGTCAGTGCATTTTATCATTGCACATCCAGATACTGTTTTAGGTGAGCTGAGCTATTTCGTTACTGAGAAAATGATAAGTATCCATTTAGAATGTTCATGTAATGTTTGGAGAGTTTTGTATTATGGATTCAACTTATATATAATATATATAAGGTACATAATATGCAATTATATATCTGATATATATTATATATAAAATAATATACCTAAGTGTTTTTTTAAACTATGGGAGTGTATTATAAAATCAATAATAATATGCAAACAGTTGTGCCTGTGTATTTGAACTACATACAGGTATGTTGTTATTAACAGATATATTTAACATTTATTTACTATGGGAGCCATTTCCTAATTGAATTGCGTAATTACTAGACCAGAATGCATATGCTACTATACATTGATTTACTGCCTGTTTTTACACTGCCATTACCTTTCATGTTATCCATGATGTTGAACATGGGAGGCATTTTTAATGGACCAAATTTTTAGAAAAATTAGTTTTTGGATTTTTTTTTAAGTTCTGTATACTGTTTTGAATGAACTTTATTTGCAGCTATTCTGGATGTCAGTTTAATAATTCAGGTACTGAATTTTATTGCTTGCTAATTGTGCCTTTCCGTTGCTAAATTAAGAAATGCTATGTGTACTGTGATGTAAAAATAAGACATTAACTTTATCTTAAGTTACATATAATCAAGCAAATATTTTAAAAAATGTATGTCAGGGTGACAGGCATAAAAGTAAATTACCCTTAACTCTTTAGCCTTTATTTAGAAAGAAATGTGGAATGGGCTAAACTTTCTCACCAATTTATTAGAAAGCTAAATGGATAAATACTTCCCTTTTTGTAGATATTTTTCTGTGCATTGTAAGTTATAGGAGCAGGACATATTTTTTGTACATTGTCTTGATTGTTTATACTGCAGGTAGGTATTTCCAGTGAATGGAAACGTTGAAATTTATAGATGGGACAATGCACATACTTCATATGTAAACAAAGCATTTTTCTAAATAATTTGGAAAGGATTGGATTTAGCACCGTTAACTTTTAATACCCATTTATTGGCTATTTAAGGTAAATTATAAAACCTAAAATTAGTATCAGTATTTTAGATCCTATTATTTTTTCAACTTTCTATTATTTTCACAGTGGAAAATTTGCGTATAGTATTAAACTATTCTTTTTTCTGTCTACCTTTATATTTTGAAGTGTGGTTGTACTTACGTTAATAGTAAGTGTATTTGTAGAAAGTTTTTCATAAAGAAGAGATTAACTTTCCATATAAATAAATACCAGGTATGAAATTACTGATTTTAGTGCAATATCTGTATGATTATCCAGAACTATCACTTCAGATGTTTCTATTTTGGGCACCATAACTATTTGAGCTCATATTTTTATAATTCTGATTGAGAATTTAGGGGCATGGTAATTTTTACCAAAACTGAAGCTGGTAATTTTAAGTAAAGCAACTAAATTTACCCTTTACTTATTAGTTAAAAGGAAACCAAGGCATGTAGGAAAATATTGGTACGTTGGAAAATGTGAAAAGAGCTTTACTTTCAAAATGTATGTTTAATGAATTGAATTTTAGGGACCGTTTCCCATAATTTGGGCCTATGCTATCCTGTTGATTTTTATGTCTAGCTTAAAAGGTATTTGAAAATGTTCCATTTGTGTTTTATTATTTTCTGTCCTATGACAGTTCTATGCTAAATGTATTTTAAAATAAAAGCCAAATTGAAGATTAAAGAAGGTTTTGCTTTGTTTTGTTTGCCTTCCGAGCAATTGTTTCTGTTTTATCTGGTAGAGATTTTAAAAATATGTCTTGGATTTTCATTCTAGCACATATTTCCTCTGAAGCGTTTTGTCCAAAATCAAAGTGCTGTTTTGGCAATAGAAGACATTGAAGAAGTTCTTTGAGGTACAAACTGGCTTTGGTTCCATTTATGATTATTTCTAACATTGTACTTTTAGTAAAAAGTTTCATATTTCTTTTAAAAAGCTTATGCACAAAATTGTTTCAGTAAAATGTGACTAATAGTATTGTAGGTAATTTACTGCTTTTCCATGAATGTCAAGGATTAATCATAAAACTAGGAACAGGTACTTTTTCAAGCAGAATAAAACATATGGACATTTTATTTTGTAATTTTAAAATGCCATGATGTGTGAACTGCAAAAACCAGGTCTGCCAGAAACTAATTATATGACCTAATATAAAACAATGCCACTTCAAGATTGACACAATTATTTTTATTTTATTTTGTAGCTTTCTTTACAAGTAGTGTTTATTAAATATATATTTCAGGGACAACATAAAAATGAATTCAGTGGAATGAATAGAATTTAAAAGCAAAATTTCCCTCACCCTCCCTGTCATTCATTCCCTTAAAGGCAAATTTTAACAGAGCATTCAATAAAGATAAGTAAATACTAAAGTGGTTTTTTAAAATATATAATCACAAAAATTTTTAAAGGCTACTCAAGTGAAGCAGTGGGAGTGGAGAAAGATATGATCACACAATTTTATATGACAAAGATTTCTTATTGGTAAACAATTTTGTTCTCGTTAACAAGGAATGTTTATTCTAGATTTAAAACCTAACGTGGCCAAGTGTGGTGGTTCATGCCTGTAATCCCAGCCGGCCAGTAAAATGTTTAATCTGGACATCAGTAAGGATCAGTTTTTAACATTTTACTTTATAGCTGCATTAGATTTTCTGAAGAGGGTTTTTGTTGTTTGATAAGGTTTTTTAAGAAAGGGAAGAGGTAGCAGTTTGAGAAAAAGTAATTAGTAGATATTACTGTGCTGGGTATTTTCTCGTTATTTGATCAAGTTCTTCCATTCCTTTTGAAATATATATGTAAGTTAAAAAGAAAAAACTTGGCCAGTCGCGGTGGCTCACGCCTGTAATCCAACACTTTGGGAGGCTGAGGCGGGCAGATCACTTGAGGTCAAGAGTTTGAGACCAGCCTGGCTAACATGGTGAACCCAGTCTCTACTAAAAAAAAAAAGACAAAAACATTAGCTGAGCATGGTGGCACATGTCTGTAGTCTCAGCTACTCGGGAAGCTGAGATGGGAGGATTGCTTTAACCCAGGAGGTGGAGATTGCAGTGAGCTGAGATCACACCACTGCACTCCAGTCTGGGTGACAAAGTGAGACTCCATCTCAAAGAAAAAAGAAAAAACTTTTACACTTGAATTCTGGTTGTGGTTATAATAAGTTATACATAGCACAATAAAAATTTTAACATGCTAATTTTGAAGGACTTTTAGAAAGCTCTTCATTTTAAGCCCACCAGATCTCTTTATAAGGAAGCAAGCCTTCCTTGTGAGACACACAGGAGGGAAAATTCAAAGAAAAATAAACTTTTTAAAAAATAAAAGTGTTTAAGGAAATAAATGTGTTTATTTGTTTATTTAGAGATAGGGTCTTGCTTTCTCATGCAGGCTGGGGTGCAATGGCATGATCACTGCTCACTACAGCCTCTACCTCCTGGGCTTAATCCATCCTCCTGCCTCAACCTCCCAAGTAGCTGAGACTACAGGCATGTACCACCATGTCTGGCTAATTTTTCTATTTTTATAGAGATGGGGCCTCACTATGTTGCCTAGACTGGTCTTGAACTCCTGGGCTGAAGCAGTCCTCCCACCTCAGCCACCCAAAGTGCTGGTATTGGAGGTGAGCCACTGTGCCAGGCTAGAAATGTTAATTCTTAAATCTCAACTAGCTGGCTTTTCCTAATTTGCCCTTCCCTTGCTTCCTTTCTCTCCCAAATATGGGATTCTACATCTGACAGCAGCAGTCTATGAGCAGAATAAAATATACTTTGATAACTGTTGTACTGACTGTGCATGCTAAAAACCCTTAGTGATTGTGAAAGCTTTCTTGCCTATAAATATGAAAACCAGATTCTTTCATTGCTCCAGAGCCCCTAAGAGAGTATTTTTTTTTTCCTTTCATCATTTTTAGTTTTGTTGCATTCTCCTTGGATGTCTAGAAAGCTCATTCTCTGGTACAGCAAGCAACAGGATATGATAATATTTTTGTTTTTTAAGATTTTTTTCCTGTTTTCTAAAAATTAAATAAATTTTAAATATTTTATTTTTTGTATGATGACATTTTCTTAGGAGATATAAAATGGATTCTCTTTTTTTAAAAAAAAAATTCTCACAATAGAAATAAATTATTAGCCCCTCAATATTTGCATGAAAAGTGACAAAATGCTTACTATATAAGGATTTTTTAAAAAATTCCTCAGAGTTGAGGTTTATCCTTTGTCCTAAATTAGGACAAAGGATAACTGAAATCTATTGTATCTATCAGTGAAATCTACCACTGTATTAGTCCATTCTCATGCTGCTATAAAGAACTGCCCAAGACTGAGTAATTTATAAAGGAAAGAGGTTTAATTGACCCACAGTTCTGCATGGCTGGGGAGGCCTGAGGAAACTTAAAATCATGGCAGAAGGCACCTCTTCACAGGGCGGTAGGATGCAGTAAGAGTGAGTGGCGAGCGAAGTGGGAAGCCCCTTATAAAACCATCAGATCTCATGAGATCTCACTCACTATCACGAGAAGAGCATGGGGGAATTGCCCCCATGATTCAAGTATCTCTACCTAGTCTTGCCCTTGCTTGTGGGGATTATTACAATTCAAGGTGAGATTTGGGTGGGGACACAAAGGCAAAGCATATCAATCACAGTCTATAATTATGTATTATTTACTTTTTACATTTTCTGTCATTATCCCTATGACGTAAGCTTCATGAGGAAAAAGACCTTATGCATCTTTTTACTTCTGGATCCCTGGGACACAGTAGGCATTCAATTAGGATATGTTGAATGAATTACACGATTATTCAGTCCTTAGGCTTCAATATGTGCATTTTTCTGGGGAAAATTTCTACAGCATTCATCAGATTCTTAAAGAGATTAATGATCTAAAAATTTTAATATTGCTTAATAGTCTACCTGTTTTAAAAGTTTAGGTTGTAAATGAATGCTTCCAGTTTAGTAAGGATTTTGTCACTTTTCATGCAAATATTGAAGGGCTAATAATTTAATTCTAGGAAAGTTTTGTATGTAATTACTACAGTACCCCATTGTATGAATGTGATTTGTACTCAAATTAGTTTTAAGATTTTGTTTTTTTTAAACTTGAAATCAAATCTGAAAAGAAAATATTGTGTATATACAGGGATATAACTTTTAGTTTCTAGTAATAAATAATTATGTTCCCGAGAATATTATTTTTTACAATTGATCTTTAATTTTTCATAAAACCAACTACATTTAAAAATGTTAAGTGATGTTTATAATTAAAATCTAGATTAAATATATTCAGAGCTTAAATATCAAGTGTTTTTTTTACTTCAGTGAAGTGAAAGGCTACCCTGGTCTCCAAAGGTCTCCAGGCCCAAATTCAGAGGATCAGTGGGGTTGGTGACAATAAGATGGATTATAATTTTCCTACTATTTAAGAGTTTTTCTCCTTTTTCATCTGGGTTAATTTGAGGGGAAGCATTCACCAAACTCATTTTAATGCACAGTATTTTTGCTCATTTTTGGTTGATATGGTTTGGATTTGTGTCCCTACCCAATCTCATGTCAAATTGTAATCCCAGTGTTGGAGGAGGAGTCTGATGGGAGGTGATTGGATCATGGGAGCAGATATCTTTCTGGCTGTTCTCCTGATAGTGAGTTTTCATAAGGTCTGGTTGTTGACCGGGCATGGTGGCTCACGCCTGTAGTCCCAGCACTTTGGGAAGCCAAGGTAGGCGGATCACCTAAGGTCAGGAATTTGAGACCAGCCTGACCAACATAGTGAAACCTCGTCTCTACTGAAAATACAAAATTAGCCGGGCATGGTGGCGCATGCCTGTAATCCCAGCTACTCGGGAGGCTGAGGCAGGAGAATCACTCGAACCCGGGAGGTGGAGATTGCAGTGAGCCAAGATTGCACCACTGCACTCCAGCCTGGGCAATAAGAGCGAAACTCCGTCTCAAAAAAAAAAAAAAAAAAAAAAAAAAAAAAGATCTGGTTATCTAAAAGTGTGTGGCACCTCCCCCTTCACCTTCTCTTCCTCCTGCTCCAGCTATGTAAGATGTGCCAGCTTCCCCTTTACCTTCTGCTATGATTGTAAGTTTCCTGAGGGCTTCCCAGCCAGGCCTTCTGTACCACTGGTAGAACTATGAGCCAATTAAACCTCTTTTTTTTTTTATTCTTAAATAAATTACCCAGTCTCCAGTAGGTTCTTTTTTTTTTCTTTTGAGATAGAGTCTTGCCATCACCCAGGCTGGAGTGCAGTGGCATGATCTTGGCTCACTGCAACCTCTGCCTCCCAAGTTCAAGTGAATCTCCTGCCTCAGCCTCCTGAACAGCTGGAACTACAGGTGCATGCCACCATTCCCAGCTAATTTTTGTATTTTTAGTAGAGACAGGGTTTCACCACGTTGGCCAGGCTGGTCCCGAACTCCTGACCTCAGCAGATACAACCACCTCAGCCTCCCAAAGTGCTGGAATTACAGGTGTGAGCCACCGCGCCTGGCCTCTGGTAGTTTTTAATAGCAATGCAGGAACAGACTAATAACACTGGTTGAAATCTGTGATAACAATCTTAAAAGTAAAAAAACTGAATAATAATCCTGCAACATTTGTCACCATAAAATTTTTTAAATAGCTTTACAAATAAGAATTTTTAAATATTTGCTTCTTAGCAGTATATTCTCAAAATCTTTTGTAAAGTATTCATGAACAAAGGTTGTAAATTTTTAAAATAACAAATTGATTTGGCCGGGCACGGTGGCTCACTCCTGTAATCCCAGCACTTTGGGAGGCTGAGGTGGGCAGATCACAAGGTCAGGAGTTTGAGACCAGCCTGGCTAACATGGTGAAACCCCGTCTCTACTAAATATACAAAAATTAGCCGGGCATGGTGGTGGGTGCCTGTAGTCCCAGCTAGTTGGGAGGCTGAGGCAGGAGAATCGCTTGGACCCAGGAGGCAGAGGTTGCAGTGAGCCGAGATCACGCCATTGCACTGCAGCCTGGGCAACAAGAGCAAAACTCCATCTCAAAAAAGAAAAAGAAATTGGATGAACCAAAGCATGGAGATGGGAATGTGTTAGACATGTTTGGCAAACAAATAGTAGTTTGTCTGGAGCATCAGGGTACCTACAAGGGAGTAGTAAGAGTAAAGTTGAAGAGCTTGTTAAAATATCCAGTAAACAATAGGTGTGGTGAAGTGGTGTCTTTCTTTGCCAGTAGAAGGGCTGCACTATTACTCACTTAGCTCATGAGTGAAATTACACCTAATGTGAAGGTAATCAAAAATATTTTTTGATATATACTTCATTATTAAGTGTTTGGTTTTTTTTTAAAATCTGATAGCAGAAGACAATTACATGTTTACTTATTAAGAGGAGAAAAAGGCAATTTTTATATTAATCCTAGATTTTATATGAAAAATCCCAAAGGTGTGAATTTTGGTGACATGGTATCATGACTGCTATAATTGCTGTTATTTAGAAGAGGAGTCCCCAGGAAGTTAGGAGAACTTTGGATGTGAAGCTATACTCCCCTCACCTTCCAAGCCCTCACAAGAAGGTTGTATAACAAACTAATGACTTACCTGGAAACCTACGCACAGGCCATGAGGATTGACGTCATTAGGTTAAGAGTCTGCAGACCTAGCTACTTTTATTACAGACCAGGAGTTTACAATGTGTTCTACAAGGAAGACGAGCTTCCAAGATACTCCATCTAGGATTTGCAGGTATGCTCTGGGAATAAAGTTGGTGTTTGTAGGAAAATAGCCTGTTGCATGGCAAGAGTGATAACATCTTGAAGTGAAATCTCCATAATGACTAATGTTTGACTCTGCATGCCAAAGTGTTCTGCAGCAAGTTCTCTAAACAATGCCTGTAACAACCCTCATAAAGATGCTTATCTGACCTCCCCAGTAGTCACAAGTTTCCACAAGAAAGTAACAGCTGCACATGTCTTTATCCTAAAGGCTTTTTTTCCTTTTCTCTTTTTTTTTTTTTTTTTGAGACAGGGTCTTGCTCTGTCACCAAGGGTGGAGTGCAGTGGCATGATTTCGGTTCACTGCAACCTCCGCCTTCCAGGTTCAAGCGATTCTCATGCCTCAGCCTACTTGAATAGCTGGGATTACAGGCATGTGCCACCATGGCTAATTTTTGTATTTTTAGTAGAGACAGGGTTTCACCATGTTGGCCAGGCTGGTCTCGAACTCTTGACCTCCAGTGATCTGCCCACCTCAGCCTCCCAAAGTGCTGGGATTACAGCCGTGAGCCACCGTGCCTGGCCCAAGGCTTGCTTTCTAAAGGATAATTTCTGGAGGACGGGTGTGAGGATCCACCATCTCGCAGTTGTCCGAGATACTGCTTATGTTTTCAAATCTCTGTGAAATATTTTCTTTCTGAGAAATTGGATTTGTTAGCCTTATTCTTTGGGCTTTAGGGGTAGGTTTGAATATACCTGCTGCTCACTATGGAACTGTATTCTTGAACTTATTTCTCATCCCACCATACTTAAGAGATCATGAGATTCCCTTTATGCGTTGAGATCAGACCTGACCACACATCTGGCTAATCTCAACTGTTGGTGAAGATTGTGGCATGGGTGTAGGAAGAATGTTTTCTAACAGAATCACAGAGATACCCTGAATATGTTCCGCATCTGTAAGGTAATCCACAATACACCCATAACCACCTACTTTCTTCCTGATTTGGTATTATTCCAGAGAGGCTAATGGCTTCCTCATTAGTTTGTCTATTACCTATAAAAAAAGACATGATGACCATACTGACTTACATTTACCTTATAATTGGCTCACAAACATGTCACTAGCCATTGCCGATCTGTAAAGATAGCCATTCCTTATGTATCAACCTGAAACTCCCATTTCAAAGAAAACTTTGGTGACTCTTCCATGAGATAGTTTCCTAAGTAGGGGGGAAAGATTACAGATTTCTGTCTTTGGGAGGCTTTAAGCTTTTCCAAGTCATGATATGTTATACCATATTCTTGCCCTTGCAAGTCTGTCATAAAACAGACTTTAGATTTGTGCTTGCAAACAGTGGCATTTCCCAAATCCTGACGTACCACTTTATTGACTTACTGTGAAAATGTTTGCGTTGAATTCTATTCTTTGTGAAGATGCTGGTGCCAAACCTGTACTGACTTTCATGTTCCCATTCTGTGTCTTTTTTTTTTTTTTTTTTTTCCTGAGGCTGGGTGTGGTGGCTCATACCTGCAATCCCAACACTTTGGAAGGCCAAGGAGGATGGATCGCTTGAATCCAGGAGTTCAAGGCCAGCCTGGGTGACACAGTGAAAATCTGTCTGTACTAAAAATACAAAAATTAGCCGGACATGGTGGCACATGCCTGTAGTCCCAGCTACGCGGGATACTGAGGCAGTAGAATCCCTTGCGCCCAGGAGGCAGAGTTGCAGTGAGTCCAGATCACACCACTGCCCTCCAGCCTGGGTGACAGAAGTGAAAACCTGTCTCAAAAAAAAAAAGTGTTTAACTGAAGTCAGAGGACCAGGATTTTTGTTTTGACTTTGTTTTGTCTTGAACTATAATTGTAAGTTCCTTCAACTAGGTACTAGCACCAGAATGATAAATGATTTCCTCACAGATAAAATGAAGAGGTAAGACTTGATGTTCTCTAAGAGCCCTTTCACTATTAAAATTTAATAAACTCTGTTAGATCAAGTGTGCAAAAAGAAATGGAGTATTTTTGTTTCTATTAGGATTCTGGAATTTAACAAAAAGAATTTTAATGCACCTTCACTGAGGGAATAGAGTTGGGAGAGCATGTCTTGTCACTGAAGCAACCTTCCCCTCTTTTCCTGTCTAAAAAGTTTGTATATACACCCCTCTAAGGAAATTAACAAGTTTCACCAAAGAAAGTGAGGTAATTGCTTTAGAAGAGTCATAACTTTTGTTTAAATCTCAAGGTTTAAAGTAACTAATAGGTCACTTTACCTAAGTAACCTAATCCAACCTACTATCTAAGTAGTTCTGAGCTGAAGTGGCTCTAAACGGATAGTTCTTTGTTTAAAAAAAAAAAGTGGGGGAGGGGGAGAGGGACAGATTAGACCCCAAAGACCTCAGTAATTCTAGAATTCATTCAACAAATCTTGCCAGCTACAGAGATGGATATGTAAAGGAAACAGAGAAGAAAATCTCTCCTTTAGAAATCTCATTCAGAACTAAGAAAAGAGAAACTGGAAAAAGAATGTAAAACTACCTCATAAATCTCATATGAACTTTACAGAATCATATTTTGGAAAATGAGATCCTTGTAATAAATTTTTAAATTGCAAATCACATTATTCATAAAGGTTTTTTAAAAATAAGCAGAACATTGGGAGGCTGAGGTGGGTGGATCACCTGAGGTAAGGAGTTCGAGACCAGCCTAAACAACATGGTGAAACCCTGTCTTTACTAAAAATACAGAAATTAGCCGGTTGTGGTGGCACATACCTGTAATCCCAGCTACTCAGGAGGCTGAGGCAGGAGAATTGCTTGAACCTGGGAGACAGAGGTTGTGGTGAGCCGAGATCACACCACTGCATTCCAGCCTGGGCAACAGAGCAAGACTCTGTCTCAAAAAACAAACAAACAAACAACAACAACAAAAAAAATCAGTACCTTTATTAGAACATTTCTAGAATGTAACAGTGCCTATTGCAGAAAGTCTTTTTTAAATTTCATAAGAAATTCTGCTAGAAAACATGAGGTTATTCTTGAATGTCAGTCAGCTGTTTTCTTATATAGTGAAATTATTTCATGGAAATGAGAAGTTACTTGCTACAAAAAATTACACAAGATATCTATAGATACATTGCTGGGTTGTTTTTTTTTATTATTCAAATGGCAAGAACAGCAAAAATCCTCTTTTTAGTACAACCATTATGGAAAACAGTGTGGAGATATTTAAAAACTAAGAATAGAACTACCATGTGATCCGGTAATCTCACTGCTGAATATATATTCTAAGGATTTGAAATCAGTATATCAAAGAAATATCTGCACTCTCAAGTTTATTGCAGCATTACTTAGAGTAGCCTAAGTGTCCATCAATGAATGAGCGGAAAGAAAATTTCAGACAAGAGGAATAAGTGCAAGAGATCTATTTTAACTCGTGATGACTATAGTTAATAGCAATATATTATATACTTGGGAAAAAAAGTCCTCCTTTGCCCACTATAATAATTGTATTCTCAGAATTAACTACTGTTGCCAGTTTGGAGTATATATTCTGTGTGTGTGTGTGTGTTTATATGTTTACATATATTGAAATATATAATTGTGTTATATAAAGTTTAGGTTTTTAAAAATATATTGTACGTATTCTGCAAGTCCCCTCCCCACACTCCCCCCCCCCCCATTTTTTTTAATTAATGATATCTCTTGGAGTTCATATAGGATTTCTCTCCTGGAGTTATCTTTATCCTGAAACATCAACTTTTCCCAGTCTACTAAATCACTCCTAACAGCACACAGACATGCTCTACTCCCATTCGCTGTTCTCCTCTACTTCTTGTTTATTTTTGTTTTTTTTTTTTCCTGAGATGAAGTCTCCCTCTTGTCACCCAGGCTGGAATGTGGTGGCACAATCTCAGCTCACTGCAACTTCCACCTCCCGGGTTCAGGCAATTCTCATGCCTCAGCCTCCCTTCCTGGTAGCTGAGGCTACAGGCATGTGCCACGAGGCCCAGCCAATTTTTGTATTTTTAGTAGAGATGGGGTTTCACCATGTAGGCCAGGTTGGTCTTAAACTCCTGACCTCAGGTGATCTCCCCCCACTTGGCCTCTCAAAGTGCTGGGATTACAGGTGTGAGTCACAGTGCCTGGCCTGGAGATAGTTTGGAGCCTTCACAACACGTTTCATCTCACAGACAAACACCAATCAACTAAGAGCATTTTCCTGCTGGGTTATGCTGTGAAGCCCTAGGAGTGCCACGATCAGTTAATGATGTCTGCCTAGGGAAAGGGGGAGAGGAGATAGAAGACGACGGAGCCAATGAAAAGGTCCCTAAAATCCACACTGATAGGGAGAAGAGAGTTTTCAGAACAAAGTGATCAATAAACAATATCAAACACTAGTAAAGAGATTCAGGCTGAAGGCAGACATCTTACATGAGTTTCTGGTTTACCTTGAAGAGAACAATTTCAATGGTGTATGTGGTAGTGGCAGTAGTCAGATTGTAACGAATAAAGGGAAAAAGGAATTAGGGAATGAGATGGTAAGTACGTATCCGAGGTTAAGATTTATGAAATAGGTAGATAGTACATGCTAGAACGAATTTTATTATATACAGTTTTTAATTCTCATTGAATCTAAGATCAGACTGTTTGAATCAAGAAGAAGGTAAAACCTAAAGTGAACAGTAACTCCCAAATGACTGTAGCACCTGATCTTAAGTAATAAATTTTAGTACCATTAATCTACTTATTCATTCATTCATTCATTCATTCATTCATTCATTCATTCGAGATAGGATGTCACTGTTGCCCAGACTGGAGTGCAGTGATGCAATCTCAGCTCACTGTAGCCTCCACCTCAAGCCATCCTCCCATCTCAGCCTCCCAAGTAGCTGGGATTACAGACGCACGCCACTACGGCCAGCTAATTTTTGTATTTTTAGTGGAGACAGTGTTTCACCATGTTGCACAGGCTGCTCTTGAACTCCTGGGCTAAAGCGACCTGCCTGTCTCAGCCTCCCAAGGTGCTGGGATTACAGGCATGAGCCAGTGCACCCAGTCATTAATCTACTTTTTATCTCGCATTTGTCAAACAACAAGGATATTAGGGAACCATGGCAAGGGAATTAGCTGAACTACCTGGAGCAGTGATTCTTAATATGCATCATCAGCATCACCTGGGAACTTGTTAGGAATGCAGACTCCTGGGCCCCATCTCAGGCTTACTGAATCAAAAACGTGGGGGCCAAAGACCAAGCAATTTGTTTAACAAGCCCGCTAGGTCATTCAGATGCACACGCAAGTTAATGTCTTGTAACACCAGTTTCTCATTAAATAAACCACATAGTTATTAAGTTACTAATCCACTTCGTTGGCCTGACCTAGATTCTCTAATGCTAAACCCTTTCAAGTGGTCGGGGTAGACTAACAGTCTTTTAAGGGTATTGAGGACCAGACTGGCCAGCTGTGATCTATTAAAAAAACATTTGAGCTGGAAAAAATATCATCTTTTCACGTTGAGGATCTAAAAATTCCCTTTGAAATCAGCAATCCCCACAAGTGAGAGGACCTCCTCTCTATGACTTGAACTCAGAAGTCTCAGGCATGCAGAGCCAATGCCTAACATGTCAAAACTGTACACAATAATTTATGACATATTTGTGAGGAACAGTTTTAATTTTTGGCTCACTTCCCATTTGCAGCACCTGCCCTGCAAAATAAATAAGTAAAAATCTTCTCTTTTTAAAAGAAGTTTATTTGTACATCTCTTACATTGCTCCATTACATATTACACTGCATTTCAAACTAATCAGATCCCTTAAAAAGATCCCTTCACCTAGAAAGCATGCTACTGCTTGCTGAGTTCTCCCTTTCAGTCTTGTGACTGTTTAAGGTCTTAACCTAAAGTAAGTAAAATCTAGCCTCTTTGTATAATATCAATGCAGGGTCAGAAAACAGGCTATTTAGCCAGTATTTACATGTCATAGGGCTGACTTGGCTGAACCTGTGCTCGCTACCCAAGGCCCTCCCTTACCTTCTCTGCTGACTCTGATTTGGTCCTTGTAATTTCCACCAGTCTGTGCTATGGGCACGAAGCTGGAAGTGCCAGCTTTGCATTTGTCAACATTGTATCGGCAAGGGAAGGTCTAAGACCCCACCATTTAGATCAATAATTGTGTGATTTTGTGTTGGTATAACTGGCCAAGATCATTGATTTTTCTTTTTTTTTAAAGATAAAAATTGAAAATGCTCTTTAGTAATCAACATTTTATTTATAATGAAAATCGTAGTACTGGTTTAATAAACATCTGCACCATCAGTTTCAAAGCATTTTTTACACTCTTAAGAGTGACATCTTAGTTCCTTCTCCTAAATTTACTTTCTTTAATTTGTCTTGTAACTGTATGACTCTCTAAATGACCCATGCTTAAGAATTATCATGTAACTTTGAAATGGTTGATGTTTATGATTCAGTTTTAAATTCATGTGTTTAACATATTTGTAATTCATTTTTAATTTTCTAATGTGTTTTAAATTTATTGCCATCAATAAAAGGCAGGCACATTATTCTTTTTCTTTCCTATATCCAAATTTTAATTAATGCTGAAAAATCACACATCACTAATGGTAATTAATAATTGTACAATAGCATAAACTACCACGTTCCAAATAATCTAAATGTTTATCAACATTTAAATTGACAGTGTTTTACTGAGGCACTGCCAATATAAAACAATAATTTCTCCTTTCTCAAAAATACTCCTTACAAATAATTTGGTTTAAAAGGAGAGAGGCACTTTGGGAAGCTGAGGCTGGCAGATCACTTGAGGTCAGGAGTTCAAGACCAGCCTGGCCAACATGGTGAAACCCCATCTGTACTAAAAAATATAAAAATTAGCCAGGCGTGGTGGTGTGCCTGTATTCCCAGCTACTCGGGAGGCTGAGGCAGGAGAATCGCTTGAACCCAGGAGGCAGAGGTTGCAGTGAGCCGAGATCACACCACTGCACTCCAGCCTGGGTGACAGAGCGAAACTCTGTCTCAAAAAAAAAAAAAAAAAAAAAAAAAGACATTTCTTTTTTTTGCAGAATAAAACCCCACTAATTCGTGCCATAATAATTATAAAAGTGAACAGCTGGAAAGAAATGCACAACTCTCATGCTATTGGAGCTTAAGATTCCCATGAGGAATCTCATCTGCTCAAGGACTGAGCAGAGGTGAAGAATGTTTTTCTGGGTCTAAAATCAATAGCAAGAGGATGAAGACTTTCCAATTGTTAATTATTACCAGTGCAAACTATAACAGTCTGAAATGTATTAATTATTAATTACCAGTGCAAACTATAACAGTCTGAAATGTATTACATATTACCAGCTTGGAAACTTTTGTTGCCAGACTTCCACAGTTCTTCTTGCTTGAAAGAGGGCATGACTAATGCTTTATAGGTATTTCCAATATTACCTCCCAAGCCATCATTAGGAATATTGATGGATCTTAACCTACATAACCTGCCTTTTTCAAAGCTCTCAATATATAAATGTTTCACAAATAAATGCTCAATACAAATTCTGTTGATAGAGGTTGGCACTTTTTAAAAAAGATTGTCCCATTTCTCTGTATGGTATTTCTAGAATAGGAATCTGATATTTTTATAAAGAGTGTTCTCAGTAGAATGAAACCTACATTTATTTTTGGAAAAAATAGTAATATGTGTAAGCACACAAGAGAGGAATAGTAGTTTTCCCCAGGGGAAAAAAAAACTAATTTACACATTAAAGTGTATTGATATATAGTTAAATATCAATTAAAATTAACCAAATGCTTTGAGATTAAGTATTTGATTTATTTTTTAATTAGTTGAGTATTAAAAAGGAAGCCCCTTTTGATGGAAGTCTTTTTAAATTTACACATAAATACTTTACAACTTTGTAATTAGACTTTAATTTTCTTTAGACAATGGAGAGTCTAATCTCTCCTTACAATTGATACCTGAAACAACAAGTTTTTATGTGGTATTTATTCTGTTCAGAGACCCTGCTCTCAGAGTTTAGAGGCAGTTTTTTTGTAAAGGGGGACTGCAGCAAAGATTTCTGAATGGGTACATGACATTTTCATGTAGCTGTTTTATGTGGCCATTTTGATGTATTAATACTTTAAAACTTTATCATAAATTAATAAAACTTACTCATAGTTAAATAAAATTAAAACAGAACTGAGAGGTAAAAAAGAAAACTAGAATTCCCCCCCCCCCCCCAAAGTCAAATAATCTCACTCCTCCCAGGTAACCACTGTTAACCAGTTCTTCTGTAGACTTTTTAAAAATACATAAAGTGACATATATATGTATTATATAAGTATATATATGTATATATACATACATGTATATGTGTGTGTGTGTATACACATATACACATGTATATATATACACACATATACACATATATGTCCTTTTAAAAGCTAGTTTAAATAAAAGTGAGCTATGTATATGGCTCTGTAGTTTTTCTCACTTAGAAATGTATCTGAAGGATCTACCTAATTTTAATAGCTGTATATTATTGTATTCTTTTTGAGACAGTGTCTCGCTGTGTCGCCAGGCTAGAGTGCAGTGGCGCAATCTTGGCTCACTGCAGCCTCTGCCTCCCGGGTTCAAGCGATTCTCCTGCCTCAGCCTCCCAAGTAGCTGGGACTACAGGCATGTGCCACCACGCCCGGCTAATTTTTGTATGTTTAGTAGAGACAGGGTTTCACCGTGTTGGCCAGGATGGTCTTGATCGCTTGACCTGGTGATCCGCCCGCCTCGGCCTCCCAAAGTGTTGGGATTACAGGCGTGAGCCACCGCAACCAGCATATTATAGTATTCTTGTTAGACATTTTAGCTAGTATTCTATTTGTATATTTAGGACACTGCAAGGGTTTTTTCTTTCTTTTTTTACTCTTTTCTTTTTCTTTGTTTTTTAAAGTGATATTGCAAGGTTTTGAAAGTTACAGTGAGCTAAAAAGTTGACCAAATAGAAGTAGAGAGTGGAACAGTGGTAACTAGAGGCTGGGATGGATAGGGGGAGGAGAGGAATAGAGAGAAGCTGGTTAACAGATACAAAATTACAGTTAGGAGGAATAAATTCTAGTGTTCTATAGCACCGTAGAGTGAATATAGTTAAAAATAATTTATTCATATTTTCAAATTGCTAGAAAAGAGGACTTTGAATGTTCTCAACATAAAGATATGGTAAAGGTTTGAGGTGATGCATATACTAATTACCCTGACTTGATTATTATGCATTATATACTATAAAAATACCACATTGTACGCCATAAATATGTGCAATTCTTATGTGTCAAAGAATATAGATTCTGGGCCAGGTTCAGTGTCTCAAACCTGTAATCCCAACACTTTGGGAGGCCGAGACAGGCGGATTACTTGAGCCTAGGAATTCAAGATCAGCCTGGGCAACATGGTGAAACCCTATCTCTACAAAAAATTCAAAAAAATAGCCACGCATGGTGGCCACCCCTGTGGTCCCAGCTACTTAGAGGCTAAGGTGGGAGGATTGCTTGATCCCAGGATGTTAAGGCTGCCGTGGGCTGAGATCACACCAGTGTACTTTAGCCTGGGTGACAGAGCAAGACCCTGTCTCTCTCTCTTTCTAGAAATACATTAAAAATAAACGTTACAGCGACAGAGTGACATCCTTGCATATACATCTTTATGCATTTGTGGGAAGTGAAATTGATTAGTCAAAGCTTTAGTGGATTTTTTTATGTTGATCAATATCGTCAAATTGCCCTTTAGATGGATTATATCAATTTATAGTATCACTAGTGGCATATGAGAGGACTTGTTTCTCCAGTTTTCTAAAGAAATTGATAATTCAAATTCAGCCTTTTAAAAATGGTGCTCTTGTTTCCCCAAAACTTGTTGAATAATCCATCTTTTACCCATTGAATTGAAGTGTCATCCTTATTATATACTAAATTCCCATATAAATATTAATCTACTTCCGGATTTTTTATTCAGCTTCATTGATTTATTATCTGGCTACAAAGTGTTTCAAGTAGCTTTATAATATGTTTTAATTTCTAACAAGGCATCTTTTATTTCTCTTTAAGTGTTTTTTTGGGTTATTCTCATGTTTCTAGATAAATTTTTTTTGCCAGCCAGATTTTTTTATTGTGGTAAAATTTATATAGCATAAAATTTACCATCTTCGGCCAGGCGCGGTGGCTCACGCCTGTAATCCCAGCACTTTGGGAGGCCAAAGCGGGTGGATCACCTGAGGTCAAGAGTTCAAGACCAGCCTAGTCAACATGGAGAAACCCCATCTCTACTAAAAATACAAAAATTAGCCAGGCGTGGTGGTGGGTGCCTGTAATCCCAGCTACTCGGGAGGCTGAGGCAGGGAGAATCGCTTGAACCTGGGAGGCGGAGGTTACAGTGAGCCGAGATTGCAACATTGCACTCCAGGTTGGGCGACAGAGAGAGACTGTCCAAAAAAAAAAAAAAAAATTTACCATCTTAACTATTTTACATATGCTGTTTTGTGGCATTAAGTGCATTCACATTGTTGTGCAACTATTTGCAACTCTGGAATCTAGATGAATCCTAATACTAACATTTTGTCAAGTTTCAAAAAATGCTGCTGTTGGCCAGGCACGGTGGCTCACGTCTGTAATCCTAGCACTTTGGGAGGCTGAGGCGGGTGGATCATTTGAGGTCAGGAGTTCGAAACCAGCCTGGTCAACATGGTGAAACACTGTCTCTACTAAAAATACAAAAAAAGTAGCCAGGCATGGTGGCGGGCGCCTGTAATCCCAGCTACATGGAAGACCGAGGCAGGAGAATTGCTTGAACCCAAGAGGCGGAGGTTGCAGTGAGCCGAGATTGCGCCATTGCACTCCAGCCTGGGCCACAGGCAAGATTCCATCTCAGAAACAAAACAAAACAAACTGCTGTTGCTGTGTTGCTATTCTGATTGTCATTATAATCCATGTACAGATTAATTTACGTAGATTTAACTTTTACAATATTGTCTATGAAGCACAGCATGTGTATATACGTATATAATATATATATTATATATACAATATATATAATATACTATATATAATATACAATATATATAATATACTATAATATACTATATATACTATATATAATATATATAATATACTATATATAATATATATTGTGTGTATATATCTATTTTTTAGATAGAGTTTTGCTTTTGTTGTCCAGGCTGGAGTACAATGGCATGATCTCGGCTCACTACAACCTCCACCTCCTGGGTTCAAGCGATTCTCCTGCCTCAGCCTCCCCGTGTCACTGGAATTACAGGCATGCACCACCATGCCCAGCTAATTTTGTATTTTTAGTAGAGACGGGGTTTCTCCATGTTGGTCAGGCTGGTCTCAAACTCTCGACCTCAGGTGATCCTCCTGCCTCAGCCTTCCAAAGTGCTGGGATTACAGGCATATATTTTCCTCTCATTCATTCACTCAAATATTTATTGAGTACTTATTACACCAGGAACTCTGCTAAGCATTAGAGATATAAATGTAACTAAAGTAATGTATCTGTAATCATGGATCTTAAGAAATCCAGAAGAGGAGATAGAGATCAAGCAAATAATTGCACAAATAAATGTAAAGTTGTGAAGTGCTAAGGAGGAGAGAGATGTGGTAATACAGTGAGCTTATAATAAGTGATTTTATCTAATTGGCGGGGTGGGGTGTGTCTGGGCAGTCTTCCCTGAAGTAAGAACTGAGCTGACTCTGGGAAAATACACTGAAGTCATCTTAAATAGCCTCCATTTGGCTCCATACAGGCTCTGCACATTTCTTTGGTTTGTCCCTGGGTATATAATCTTTCTTCTTGTAATAATATAAGAGCTCTTGTATTCATTTTATTTTTAACCTTTTTTTTATTTATGGGAAAGCTATTGATTTTTGTATATTATATATGTAACCAGCTACCTTTGGGATTTTCTTGTTTTTGAGGGAACCCATTCTCTTTCTCGTACATTTTTGCTTCAGCTAGTAAGTTAGGAATATCTGTCAAAACTTCTGCCCTCTTGGAAGTTTGAAGGGGGAAGCTGCTGTCTTCTCCCCACCTCTGTGAGTACAAGAGTGATTTACCTGTTTTTATTGATTTTTTATTTTTTTTATTTTTTTTTTGCTGTAGGATATAGATCCTGATGACTTACGTGTTTGGTAAAATGGTGAGAATATGACATCCACTAAGTCATCTTTCTGTTTTGAGTGGAATTAATATGTGAAAGGCCAAGGCTCAATGTGGCATTTCTCTTTTGACTCTCTATTATAGTCAGCAAGTAAGGGAGACTCCAACTACTTTATTTATTAATAACTTTTAAATATTTTGCTACAATTATAAATAGTAATCATTAAAGTTATTTACTTAAGAAACAATGTCTCACTCTGTCACCCAGGCTGGAATGCAGTGGCATTATCATAGCTCACTGCAACCTTGAACTCCAATGGCCTCAAGTGACCCTCCTGCCTCAACCTCCCAAGCACTGAGATTTCAGGTGTGAGCCACTGTGCCGGCCACCGTTAGATTTTTTTTTTTTAATCTTGGTTTAATATCATGGAAATAAAGATGCTTGAAGGTCTGGTTTTATTTATTTTGTATTTTTATTTTTTTACATAAGTTCTACAGATCTGCTGAGGAGGTATGGGTTTACATTCAATTTATCTTAATTATTGGTTTTAATATCTATCATAGATGAGAAACATAATTGAAAAAGATGCCAAGATTCAAAGAAGTAGTAAAAAATCAGGATACTCATTTTTTAGTCCTATACCCTATTTATAGAAAAATTTTTATTGAAATTCCACTAGAAATACCCATCTTCCTTAATATCAGAAGATACTGCCTTTTTAAAAATTTTCTTGAGACAAGGTCTCACTCTGTTGCCCAGGCCGGGTGACAGAGCAAGACTCCATTTCGAAAAAAAAAAAAAAAGAAAGTGGATAGAATTTTTTTTTCAAATAGTCCTCTTTGTAGTTCTCTTTTAACTGACATCTTGTTAGGTTTTATTAAACTGTCATTTTTATCACATATTTTGGCTAAGAAGAAATTATACCAGAAGTAGGAAAAGAACTAGTTCTGCCATTTTGTTGTTGTTGCTTTTATCTTCATTATTGATCTTTTCAATCCTTGTCCTCTTTGCATGATTGTTTTAAAATCATACGCTTGTTTCAGGCTATGTTCTCAAGAAGCAGAACTTGAGATGAAGATTCCTGTGCCAGCGATTCTTTTGAGAGAGTGATGTCAGCTGAAACCTGTAAGGGAGTGAGAGAAACAGAATAGGACAGAGGAAGAAGCTAGGCAAAGACATGGGTTCAGTTGAAATCTATCTTCATTTTGATCCCATGAGCAGCTCTGGAGTGTGGATGGCACCATGGACTTGTCTCTTCTTGAGGCAAGGAAGCAAGCTTTAGTATTCCTGTATTATTCAGTCGTGGGCTATGGGCCGCCTGGAGTTAGTGCAGGAGGGTGGTGGCAGAGTGTGATGTTCCTGATTAGGTAGCATCCATCATTTATGGTCAGTTCTTCACAGAAAGATACAGGTATGAACTGGTAGCAGCCAAGAGTCACAGCATGTAGGGAATGGGGACCATGACCAGTAAGTAGAATCTGGGCAGGGAACCAACACCCATTTTTTGAAGTTACTTAAGGCTAAATATTATAATTGGGAAATCTTTTACTTAACCATTGTACAATGTGTCAGCTGAAAATGAACAAACAAGTGAGAGTGACACTTAGGGAATTCATGCTCTTGTCCCTGATACTCCCTACCTGATGTGACCATCAGGCCTTCAGACTGGTGAAGATGCAAATGTCAACCTACACACTAATCTTAGTGTAGCATAAACACACCTGAGAGCAATAAGTGAAGCCTACCCTGAGAATGACCCTGTATGGCAGATGCATCTGAATGTGTGTTCTAAGCTAGGGAATCTGGGAGTGGCCAACCTGGACATTTTTTCCTTATCAATGATGAACATCTGAACCCCTGTCCTGCCCTGTTCATGGCAGTGGCAGCCCATCTGGAGCAGCCTCTCTGACAATGCTGGCTGCAGCCGGGAGGCGCGGCTGGGGCTGTGTATTCCATGGAGCAGGCAGGATCCCCACCCTCCTGGATGCACCTGCAGCC